>NC_000001.11:208184587-208336102 GCF_000001405.40 Homo sapiens | reverse complement strand
GTATCTTTGCCTGTGTTTGGGGAAATGAAGAGTGGCACCTGGTCTATTCCAAAAAATCCCCAAGGAAAAATATGTTTCAGCCCTTGTCATTTACCCAGCCCTGTCCCCACCTCTCATACTGACAGAAAACAAATGTATGAAGTCATTGCCGCTGGTTGGCACAGACCCTCTCATGCCCCTTTCTGCCCTTTCCCACACTTTGTGTCATCAGATTAATTTATAAAAGCAGTCCTTCCACACCCCCTGAGACAGCTAGGAAAGCTTTGTTTTGGTTTTGACAGATGGGGAAACCAAGGCAGAAAGAGTAATTGAGCCAGGGGCCCTGAGGACTGGTGCATTCTGGTTCTCATCCCACCCAAGCCTGCCAATGTCTCTTCTCCATGGAGCAGAAGAATGGATGGTCTCTTTCTCTCTCCCCCTGTAAGTAAATCAGACCGGCCCCACTTCAGTAAAAACAACATTTGTTTAGGGAGAAAAGGGGAACTCACCGTGTGGTGCGGCCTTCCCTTTGAGCTGCCCTGACAGAAACAACACCGGGCCCATGTGTGCCTGCGGCTTTCTTTTGTAGTAGGCGCCATTCATCATTGCCTGCCTTTCGGGGCAGCTAAGCGGAAGGCTGGAAAGGGAAAGGAAAAAAAAAATGACACAAGCTTCCAAAAACACAGTGGTGATTTTTCTCTTTTCTTTTTTATTTTAAAGTCCAAAATGTAAAGTGCAGGGCTCAGTTAATCAGAGGGCTAATGCTTTCCATTTCAAAGCTCCTTTAATCTGAAGAGACATTTCACAAATATCTCTTCTCCAGGCATCCCCTCTCCCATCCCATTAATAATATAATAATGCTGCCTTAAATTGAAAGAGTAGAAGTAGATTGGAGTGGTGTGTGCAAATTCACTCATCCATCCTCCCAGGTCTGAATTCAGACCTGCCACCCCAGTGATCTGCAAATAACAAATAAGACCTCCACTTTTTGAAATGTACTCTGTGGAGCCACTTTGCTTTTAGGAAACCTAACATATGAAGCACTTAGCAAACAGGCAAATCTCCTTCATTACGAAAGGTTTGGGGGAAAAGGGACCTGCTAATGGAAGCCTATACTGGGGGTTGGGGAGCCTGGGTTCAACTTCACTCATGGCTCATTAATGCATGAGCATATTTATTCTACTGTAAACAAGTAGCCCCTCTGCTAAGGGTTGAGATTAACAGGTGAACAAAACACAATCTCCTTCGAGCATTCCAGGCCTGGCTCTGCCACTGATGAGCTATGTCCTTGAGTTAGTTGCTCAAGCAATGTGGGTCTCAGATCTCCCTTTTGAAAAAAAAAATTAATAGCTGGCTTCCCTCTAGATTGCAGTGAGAAGGTAGTAAACCGGTGCATTTAAGTGTTTCTTTACAGATCATTAACTACTATGGGGAATGGAGGGTCATAGGAATAATAGAATTTTTGAGCTAGCAGGAACCAAAGAAATCAACTATTCCAACCTTTTCATATAAGAAGAGAGTCTTAGAACTAAAATGTCAGGAGCCTGTGTCTGTAGAAAAGCCATCAGAAATGAAAACAAAACGTCTTTGAAATAATAATATAAGACATACGGTGACATTAGACGATGTCTACCAATTCTCAGGGCTGGGTGGGGAGCTGGTGCACAGGAATAGCCGTCAGGAAACTCAGGTTCTAGTCCTGCATTTTTCACTAACCAGCTAAGTCCATGGATGAATGATTTAAGTCCAGTTCTGTTGGTCATCTGTAAAATAAGAATCATGGAGGGTAAAAACAGTGCAATAGGAAGACTTTGGAGTTATATAATTTTTGAGGTCTGTCTCCACCACATCTTAGCTGTGCAATCTGGAGTAAATTAACTAAAAGTGACTCTCTGAGCCTCAGCTTCCACATCTGTAAATTGGGCATAACTCCACCTCCCTAATGAGGTTGTTAAAATTAAATATGGCAAAGCATATAAGTACTTTGAACATGGTGAGTACTTTTAATAAATGTTAATTCCTCTTCTTCCTAGATAACCTCTACTAGCATTAAAATTCTATGACTATGAAATGTCTCCTTAAAATGTGAGCTCATATATGAATACTGACTTTACTGCCTTCTCACCTAACAAGGTAGAAAGGAGCTAGACACTTTCTCTAATAGCAGATGGAATGGAGATCCAGAAGTGTGACAACTCTCTCAAGGTCACAGACATGAGTCACAGAAATGGGCATTAAGCAAATATCTTTGCTTCTAGCCTGGAGGTATTTCTCAAAGCAGCCATCTGTGGCTAAGAGAGGCAAGCTCCTCACTATCTATCAGCCGCATCACCATGAACTCAAATGGTTTAAAAGAACAGTAAAAAGGAGACGAAAAAACTCATAGTATGGAGTTCTGACTTTACCACTGATACTTCATTTAACTTCAATAACCCCATAGGGTAGTACATATCCCCATTTTATAGATGAGAAAATAGAGGAACAAAGGGGTGAAGAAAGTTGCCCAGTGTTCCTAAGACTGCTGAGCAATGTAGCCAGAATTCATCAAGGTATAAGGCAAGTCCTGTCTGCTCACATCACACAGCCTTGGGGTCATCACCATGGTGTATACATGCTGAGTAAATCTTTACTGTCAACAGATCTCTGTGCCACCAAAAAGGACTCAATCCCTAAAGCCATGCAAGGAACTCTTTCTTCTACATCACAATCTCATTTATAATCTTTGATATGAAGCCCCGAAAGAGTATTTTCCAGCCTGAAATGTAAATGTAGCTTTTCCTACACACTTCCTCAGAGTCAAAGAGAAAGACCAAAGGGACCTAGAGTTTCTAGGGAGAGTAGTCAACATCTCTGACCATCCCTAGGTAGACAGAACTGCTGATTTCACAGGCATCAAAGAGTCCCAGGACAAGAGAACATGTGGCATGCTTTAAGGCTAAAGCCAGCAGCTGACAATAAATGAAAAAAGACTTTTCGAACAGAATGAATGTAAATGAGAAAAGAAGCCCCTGGTTAGGGAAGTTATTCTAGCAAGTGGCTATATAAATGTCTTTATATTGTTATTTCCAATATTAGTTTGTTGTTCCTCCATGAAAGCTGATTTATTTGAAATGTTATTACTAGAAACACCCTAATCTTTTGGTAATAATTCATATACTGGAAGATTACAGTTTTGGAAGGCAGCCCAGTGCTGTCTGGAATCCTATTTATGGATTAAAGGATTTGAACAGCATTGCAAGCAAGATCTCTAAAGAGTAGGATAATGTAAACCTGGTTCCATATAAAATGCTTTACCCCAGCTATAGTAACCCCATTAAAGTCAGATTGTTAGACGACACTGGGCATGATGACTTTCATTACACTAAACTGGGATATCACTGCCCCTGAAGAGCAAGGATTTTTCAAGCCCAGTTGCCCCTGATTTTGACAGACTATGCTTAACTTTGTGTTTTCCCTTTCTCCTAGGACATGCCAGCCTTACATAATAGGTCTTGATTTTCGAAAGGCTATGTTCAGGTGAAAGAAGGAAAAAATTACTTGTCATAGCAAAGGCAACAGCAAAGCTCATGGGGTTCATTGACAGAGGAAGGATGACACGTACCCAGTGCTTTTTGTTCTCAGAAAGCTTCGGGTTAAGACGGATCCCTGCTCTGCCAAAAGTGCCCCTTTATAGAGCAATCTAGGCCATGACACTGGGAAAAAGCAGAGAAGACTAAATGAATTTGGCAAGAGAGGGCAAAGGTCACTATTGACCATAATAAGGGCAAAGCACTAACGAGATCCAGGATGACCTACAGAAACAAAAGAGCCCTAACGTGCTCTTTTCTTTGAGAGCTCTTGGGGACAAGTAGTGGAAAGGTGATGCATGTTAGATTCAGATCACCTGGTTGCACTATTTATTGGCTGTGTTGCCATGGGCTGGTCACTTAACCTCTGTGAACCTGAGTTTCCTCATCTTTAAAGAGATAAAGTCTACTTGAAAGGCTGTTATGAGTATTTAATGAGATCATAGATGACAAATGTCCAACACAGAGATGGTGGTCAAGGAATGGCCATGAGTATTATCAAACAACTGGCACATTACACAAAGATGGCCACCAGTTGCTAAATCAAAGGCTCTTAATTTTGTACTTCACTTTTCTGTCACACACTCCTGTAAGGTGCTGAACCAAAACTGCCATTAGAACTAGCTGGGCTCAATAGAAGAGTAGAGACAGCGGGAGGGAAGCAGCAGGGGGAAAGAACAGACCAATGTCACCTTCTCCTTCAGCAGAACCACTGCCTATTAAGACAGAGTCATCAAGCACCTCATGAACATCATCTGCCACATAAATAATGGATAATAATTCTAATTATACCACCACCTAAAACTTGACTTAGGAAGTCTTTATTTTTTTTTTCTCCAACTTATTCCAGTCACCTCAACCAGATCCTATTTTATTTTATGATTTCCACCCTCTGTTCAATGACTCAGGTCTGGGTTCTGACACAGACACTGTATAGAGGGGAAGATTTCCTTTCAGGCCCAGTGGGAAAAAGGGAACCATCCCAGGGCAACTGGGGGCTGTAGACCAGCAGAGAGCTGTATTTTGTAAAAGGTTAGACTTTGGACTGCCTGTGTGAGAATCATTTGGAACAGCAGGACAGGGGAGGGGGGTGGTCCTTATTTAAAATCCAGGTTTCTGGATTCTACCCCAGATCAATTAAATCAGTATAACTAAGAATGAGACTTGGGAATCTGCACTCTCAACAAGCTTCCCAGTGGAACTTTATGTACACTAGACATTGAGAATGGCTCATCCAGGGATTCCTAAGGAAGAAGAAGCCAATGAATATCAATGTCATTCAGGACTTCCAGGGAGTACGATGATAAAGCACATTGTATTGTATTCTACCGATTACAAAACACATCCACAAACATTATCTCATACTAAACAGTGTGCACACAAACAAGATAAATATGTCCGTACTGTAAATTATTTATATTGATAAACAATACAGTTCACTTCATGGACTCAGCACTATCAAAGAAAGACTGTTCTACATAAATAAATTTGCCAAGGAAAAAAATGGGGATTTAACTTCTTGAATGCCAAGCATTTGAAACAATTCATCATATCATATTTTTTAATTAACTTAAACAGCCCCCTGCCTTAATAAACCAAATATCCCAAACAGAATTTAACATTATATTGACTTAGGGTCACCACTAGTAGCGTCTTCTTGTGCACGGAGCTGTAAAAGCAATGATGTTCAGTGAGATACAGAAGGTGTTAGTTATATAAAACACTGTTTTTCTAACATCTTATGGCCCCAGTCTTGAAGCATTTAGCTTGTCATTTGTAGTTTTTCTGACTCTTCTTTGATGGACTAGCCAGTGTCACTTTCCACCACTGAGAGGAAAAGCACTCCCTCCCCATCCTTTTGAATTGACTACTTATATTCCAAGGTAGAAGAAAATTGAGAAAGTATTATCATCTTAAGTACAATGAGAGGAAATTAACTCTGAGGTTTTATGAATAGATAATCCTTAGAGTAATATTCAAGAGGTTGAGTATGAGTTGTATGGACTGCATTTTATCTGCTTATAGGTCTTTTTACTTACTTTGGTTCCAGCTGTGTTCAGGAAGTTGAAGCGCGTGTCTATCTGACTTCTGGCTAAGAGAATTTAATGATTGCATAGCCCTGAGGCTCTCAGAGCTGAGTGCCTGTTTACCAAGAAGATCTCGACCAAGGACCTGGAGTCACTTGTGTACTTGCCACCATAGCATAAAGGGAAGAAAAATGGGAAAGCAGGATCACTCAGAGAGAGAAGATTTAATATTGCTGGATGAATTAGTAAGAATTATTTCTGTTACGACTGTTAGATAAACACCTGAGATGAGTTTAAGAACCGGGAGAGATTTCTTAGCTCACAAAACTGTCAGGTTTCTCTCTTTCCATAGCTCTTGTTTCTGCTGCTGTGTATGTTGACAGCACCCACTTCTACTGCAGATGGACTTTCTTCATGCCGCAGGAAGCCTGCCTGCATTCAAGGCTGGTGAGGCAGGAGCAGTTCCCCAAAGGAAGTGGTGTACATGGTGGCGAAGCAATGGTTCAAGCTCCAACTGATAAGAGTGTCAGGAACAAATCAGGTAAGGATGAAGAACCATGTCTCCCCACCCACAGAGGTTAGCTCAGGGCAGCAGGAGCAGCAGGGAAATATATATATATATATATATATATATATATATATATATATATATACATACACATACACACACACACGCACACGCACACATATATATGTAATCACACACAAACACATACACATATGTACATATATCTATGTTAATATCATATCATGGCCACCTTTCCCTGTGGAATCCCCACCCGGAGGATTTAGTGAGGAGAAAACTCGATTTCAGTGGCTCTGCATCAGTCGAGGAAGACTAGATTATGTTGTGGTAACCAATAACCTGCAAATCTTAGTGACTTAACATAATGAAGCTCCATCTCACAACCCTAGTGCATGGCAGTACAAGACGGTAGGTGAATAAATGCCTGACCTATGTCAATGTAGGCTAATTGCACCCAATTAAGCTAGTCCCTTCCTCCCTTCCTGTTCGTCATTGCTTGCTCATCATTGTCCTCACTCTGGGACCAAGCTGATGGAGCAGCTGCTTTCTGAGAGTGGTGAATCACATCTCTGCTCTAGGAGCATCTGTCTGAAAGTGGCCCTTTTGCTTCTATTTAGGCAAGTAAATGAAGTCCTATCATGCATCTGGAAAATATTTAATGGACAATGCTAATGACTACCAAAGACTCTGGGGATGTCCCAGTATCAGAGGTAACGGGAATTGAGAGAGGAAATAATGGAACCCTACTAGACTCTACCTAAGGAATGTAGCATTTGGGGCTCATTTCTACTCCTCTATCCCTTATCTTCACTGCTTTGCGCCAACTCCACTGGAAGCAAATGTGACAGAGAACAGGACTATCTTGGCCATGATATGATATTAACATAGATATATGTGTACGTATATATATATATGTATGTTTGTGTGTCTGTATATCTATACATAATATATGTAGCAGATATGTGTATGTGCATAATACATACATAACATATATTATGTTCTTCTATGGAGCCCAGCTAGTTCTAAGGGCACTTTTGGTTCAGCATCTTGCAGGAGTGTGTGACAGGAAAGTGAAGTACAAAATTAAGAGTCTTTGATTTAGAAGCTGGTAACCATCTTTCTGTATTGTGCCAGTTGTTTGATAATACTCATGGCCATGTATAATAAATACATATATATTTATTTATATATATATTCCCCTGTGGAATCCCCATGTACATATGTGTGTGCATGTGTGTGTGTGTGTGTGTGTGTGTGTGTGTGTGTGTGTATGATGATAAGAGAAGAAAAATCTAGGAGGAGGCAGTGAAAGGGCTCTAACTCTGACCAGGGTTACCTGGAAGAAATATCAGGGATGACATTCATCCAAAAAATGATCCATTGATAAGCCCGGTGTAACACCATATGTAGGACTGAAAAACAACAACAACAACAACAACAACAACAAAAAACCTTCCAAACCATAAGAGAGAGAAGAGAAATAAAGAGGGGTAGGAGGAAGGAGGAAAGGAAGAAAAGAAGAATGGAAGAAGGAAGGAAGCAAGGGAGGGAGGAACTTAATTGGGTGCAATTAGTCTATATTGACATAGGTCAGGCATTTATTCACCCAGTATTTGCTAATCTTCTAGTCTATTGATCAAGTACCCAAGTTAGAAAGATGACTAAGACACAGTCTTTACCTCAAGAACTTAATGTCTGTAGACAAAAAGGCAAGCAAACAGAAAACATAAACAAAGGGAGGTACTGCTCTGTCAGAAACAAACCCGAAGGTTGTTGGGCACCCCCAGAATGGATACCTAGCTCTAACCTAATCCATAGCAGTTAACTATAAATGGCCTCAAGATAAAGGAAATCTCTCAGGTGAATCCTAAAGGGTGAATAGAAGTTAACCAAAAAAGACTAGATGATTTCAGAGAGAATATTCCAAAAAGGTGGGAGTGCATGTGAAAGGAATCCCTGGTGAGGGATGGGTGCTCTCAGTAGCATATAATTCCAATGGGGATGATGGTAAAATGTGAGATCGGGACCCATAAAGGGTCTTTTGCGGCTTGCTAAGAACTTAGATTTTATCCTAAGATAAATGAAGAGAATTTTAAGCAAGAAACGGAAATGATCAGATTCACATTTTGGAACAGTTGTTGTGCCTAAATTATAGAGGATGAACTGAAGAAGTGCAAGACTGGAGGCAGGGGTGGGAAACAGCCAGGGGGCTCTTTTAGTCATCCAGGCAAATATATGTATATATATTGAAAGCATGAATTGAATCTGTGGCAGCAGAAAGAGAGATGGGTATCAAAAAAATCCCATCCCAATTAGTTACTTGGGGAAGCAGGTACTTGGAAAGGGAGATAAATGGGATCTGGAGTTATTTGGACCAGGGTAGAGACCATTTCATTGATTTTCTCCCTTGGGACTTGACCCTAAAAAAAGTTTGCTGACAGCCATGACACTAAGAGGATAAAGTAGATTGGGGTGATCACATCCCCTATACTCTGTCAACCTCATTCACCTAGAAGTCATCAACTACATGGTTTTGAAGAAGCAAATTTAACATTGCAAGAGGCACCTCTAATAAATAACAGGGGTAAATAACTTACCTGGTTAAAAAAAAAATCCAAAAGAATCAGGTAGGCTATACCCCAGGTGGACTTAGATGCCAAGAGGGTAAGGCATTTAGGGGGATCTTCCTCTCCATCCCCACAGAACTCACCAATAGCTTCAGAGAGCTCAGTTTTTGGGTCTATAGGTCAATAGAAAACAATGTGCAAATAGTTATTGCACCATTTCACAAATCACAGCTCGTAAATGATTGTTTTCACCTTAATGTACTAAAAAGATTACCAGTCTTCCAGCAGTGCAGTCTTTTGGAGACATCTTGAACTAAGCCCATCAATGAGAGAATAGTGTCAAGGAGGAAGAGTCTACACATCTGGTGGCCATGGTCACTGCAGGAAATGCCCAAGACTCATCAAAAATAAGATGACTAGATCTGTTGTCCTTCCTCCAAGATTAAAAAGGTGACTCAGAGGTAGTTTGAGATAACAAATCTACCCAAATCAACCAAACTTATTATAATAGACAGGAGGAGAAAGGATAGAAGGTGGACTGTTGGAAAATGGGGCAAGGGGGAAATTCAAGGAAACTGTTCATCTGAATATAGGGCCCTTGTTTTCAATTCATCATCTTTTTTGGGGGGGTTGCGGGGGCGGGCACAACACCAAAGAGTCAGGTATAGGAAAGGCCATCAAATCTAACAAAGTATATAGTCTCAATATCCTTTTTTTCTACTTTGCCAATCTTGCATTTTGTATTTCAGAAACAAGCCTATGCTGCTCTAGGAAGAGTCCCTCTGCATTGTGAATAATTCACAGAGCCTGCTAACATCCTCAGTGCCTTGCTAGCTCAAGGGCTGAATGGAGAGTGCAGGACTCTGAGACTGGAATATGAGTTTCTGACAGTACCCAAGAACTTACAGTCAGCCACGTCACACTGAAACCACTCCTTCTTCCCCACCATGATAAGGCATAACTTCTCAGCTGCACCATTTTCTCTTCTTATGAGGATGGTGGGCAGGCCAGGGTGTAAGAATGGCAACTACAAGCCTGCCAACACAGTCTTCCAATCAGGGGCAAGCCTTTCATCTCATCAGCACCTGTTTTGGGGAAAACAGCTGAAAGTACCTGGTGTCTTGTTCTGTGTGGATGTTCAACATACTCCTCTGCATTGGCTAAGGTGTTGCATTTTGCCTTTGTCCTGTGCTTGGCATGTTGCCAAAGAATGGGAGGGCCTCAAGATGTGGCGTGCAGGAAGGATTGCTCAACTGGATATTTTGATGTGGTCTCATGGACAGAAGGGTTTGAATCCCTGATAAGGATTGATTTGAAATCCTTTTCTGACAGTCCCCTCTGCTTCCACCACTAGTTTAAGTATATCCTCCTTCAGTTCTCTGTGATGTCTGAATTTCCACCATGGTAGTATCATTCTTTGAATAATGATTTTGCTTTCCCATAGTCTGCTATTGAAATGTAAGCCAGCCTGGGAGGGAGTAATGCCTCAGGCTTTGATCAACCATTAGCCTCTCAGGTATCATCTTTGGAACAGGACAGAAAAAGTTAGCATTGTTTTAGTACTGGGTGCCCAGGTGAGAAAAGGCAGGATAGGATGGGGTCATTTTATGATGGAAAAAGAGCGTAAATCAGGAGAGTAAACAACTCCTATATCCCTCACTTATCCACTTGTTCAAGGCCAGACTTAACTGGGGGCTCAGCCTCCATTAGATTTTAGGTGCTAGAGAAATTTCTAGAGAAATTTAAGGCAAAGGTTCACTCTCAAGTACAATTGAACCCCATTTCTTTCCAGAAAAGTGGAATGCAAATTGATGTTTTTATACCAGTGTATCAATGTAAGGATATCTCTATTTTTTCCAAGGACCATATCAGCAATTCTGTCAAACTTTCAGTAAACATTAGTTTGCTGGCACTTTAATTTATCTTCTCTGTCTGCACATCTACCTAATCCCAACAGAGGGAAAAGAAAAAACAAAAAAGCTTTTCTGTCTATTCATTAATGATGTATACACAGTCACTTAAGAGAACTAAGGAAGATATTCTTCAAGGAAGCATGATTTTAGGTTTTTGTTTTTATTGTAAAACAAATAACTGCCTCCAAGTGTGTATGCCATTTAAGAGATTTTCTATATTGGGGTTTCCAGTATCCTTCTTAGAGAAACAATGTCTCAGTAGAATATCACATTTTTTACTGGACTTAAGGAAATAGCTTTAATTTAGAGGGGGATGTGGAGGAAGAGTTTCTCAGAAGGAAGGCTGCTAAACTGTGGAACAAGACACCAAGAACTATTACAGGAGCTCATTTGGCAGAGTTCCTGCTAAAATGGGACTATCAAGGTTAAAGTCCTGTCGTAAGAGAGGGGGGCACTCGCACAGATGACCCCAGGAACTCATTTTCAACATTCAAGTGCCATAATCCTAAATCCTGATGCTTTCCCTTTGGGTCCTTAGACAAAGCAAGAAAGTGGAGGCCAGGCACGGTGGCTCACACCTGTAATCCCAATACTTTGGGAGGCTGAGGTTGGCGGATCACCTGAGGGCAGGAGTTTGAGACCGGCCTGGCTAACATGGTGAAACCCCATTTCTACAAAAATACAAAAAATTAGCTGGGTATGGTGGCGTGCACCTGTAATCCCAGCTACTTGGGAGGCTGAGGCAAGAGAATCACTTGAACCCAGGAGGCGGAGGTTGCAGTGAGCCGAGGTAGCGCCATTGCACTCCAGCTTGGGCAACAAGAGTGAAACTCTGTCTCAAAAAAAAAAAGAAAAATGGAGAACACTTTGTCCATCCTGTGCTCATTACGTGCTGAGAAATCTAATGAGATAAAAGCTCAGATTTGCATAAGAAGTAAATCAGAAGACTGTGGCTCCACAAATTCTGAACAGAGCCTATCTTGATAAATAAAATGTGACATTCATAACAAACAAACCAAAAAGCAGATAAAGAAGGAGAGCCCTCAGCATTAATGCTGGAAAACCTTTGGCGATAAATAAGTAATATTATAATAAAAGATATTATAATGCGTTGTCATTTGCAGGGAGAAATGTAATATAGTCTGAAGAGGAAGATAGATAGCTCAAGTTGTTTTTCTGACAGTGGAAGTAATAGCTATTGAATGTTATGTTTAGCATATCATAAAATCAGTGTTAGCAGGCAAGACAGCCCTCAAGCCGTCCTGAAGTCCACATTCAGCCTTTTGACATCAGCAAGAAAAAAGCCTGGAATGCAGTTCGACCGGGATGGATGGTCTCAATTCAAACCAAATTGGAAGAGACAGAGTTTCCCTCGGCCGGCAGGCCCTCAGCCTGAAGTGGAAATGAACTTGGGGGTGACTGGAATATGTCTTTCTTCAGTCTTCTCTGTACTTGCCATCCCGCAAGAGGCTCCTGACAATTGTAGGAGCAAAGCTGTAAAGCTCGAATTCCTGCAGCACTGGAAACTTTGCTGAGGATGATGAAATCAGTTCTCTCCATATACTGAGGAACCATTAGCCAATTCCAGTTTCCTGCAGAGGTGCTGAAAATCCTTCTTCATCTACACATGGCTCTGTCATATTGCCTGAAATGCTTCCATTTTTATTATGTAAGTTGCATCTCATCCACCTGAGGGAGAAGAGAGAGCCACATGTATCCACGAGATGATGGAGCCTGACCTCCTCACATTCGACGAGCTGTTCAGCCTTGCTCATTTTAGGGGCAGGAATGCCAGTAGGCAAAAATAATTCAGCTAAGCACCCACACAGGAAGGGGTCTTCACTTGTGCCAAATGTATACAAAAAGAACATTATTTTATTTATTTTGTTTTTAGTGTATTATTTGCCCAGAGAGCTCACTGATAACACATCCTGGGTAAAATGCCGTTTTCAGGATTACCAAAAAAATTTAAATAATGCACTAAGAGAAGTTTACCTGCATGCAATTGAATTTCTTCATTCTGATGCAGTCTATGGGATGGATTTGAGAAGAGATTGGGAGGCTAGGCCTCAGCCTCTGCTTCCCAGAAGCCAGAATAGTAGAACTAGAATCTGAACACTGCTACTTCTGAGCTCCACAGGCTGTAAAGAATAGGGACCTGGGATGCTGTGGTGCAGCTGGGTTCAGAAGAATGGAGGGGGAAGACCAGAGGAAAAGACATCTGTCTTATTTCCTGAGAGAATTGGACTCACTAGGAATATTTCTTCCTTTCTATCTTATCTTCAAGATGAAAATTCCATCAGAAACCTCTAGTTCCTTCTCTCTACCACCACCATCAATCTCACAGAGGGAAACAAGGGTCCTTCACTCCCAAAGGATGCTAGGACCCACCAAGAAGAGCTCTGGGCAGAGTAGTTTGTCAGGGGGCCAGGTGAAGGCAGTGTGTGGGTGGGTACTTGGGGAAGCCTGCACCAACCAGTATAGGCAGGTTGACTACTCCTTTTCTTCCTTATGTTGTGGTTCATTAACCTTGTAGAGAGCAGAGACACACATTTATTGAAGATCCTCTATGCAGCAGGCTCTGTGCTAGGCATGCTGTGTACAGCCCATCCTCTGCTGTCAAGAGAATGAGAGACATATAATCTTGAAATCAAGAATAAGACCAGGTTCACA
This sequence comes from Homo sapiens, assembly GCF_000001405.40. Classification (NCBI taxonomy): domain Eukaryota; kingdom Metazoa; phylum Chordata; class Mammalia; order Primates; family Hominidae; genus Homo; species Homo sapiens. The sequence goes on along the minus strand of NC_000001.11, from coordinate 208,322,851 downwards.
AAAGCAGCCAACTCAGCTCTGATGCCCATGGCCAATTTCCATTCAACTTAAACAGCATGCACGCGAAAGGCATCTTGGAATAACGATTAAGATCATGGGCTTTGAAAACCTAGGTACTTGACTTTGTGTCCTACTTTAACTACTTTCTAGTTCTGTGACCCTTGGCAAGTTATCTCAAGCTCTCTGAGCACTGGGTTTCAATATATTAAAAACAGACAATTATTGTTGCTACTTCATGGGACAATTTAACGAGCTCACGGATGTGAAGCACTTTGTGCAACATATAGTAAATGCTCAATAATGCTGGCTGAAAGAACGTTACAGAAGTGCCAGGCACTGGGCTTGAAGTTGGGATACCCAGATGGTTAATGCATTGCCTTCTAGGAGCTTAGAGTCTAATAGAGATGAATAACTGTAGCAAGATGGCAAAAACACATACCAAGCTGCCTGCTCAGTACAAATAACTTCCTTGGTTGAGTTTTTTTATGAAATAACTTCCTTGGTTGAGATTGTTTCTTGCAAGGGGATTTTTAAGACTGAGAGATTTTCCTCTTCCAAGTGTGTACAAATGAGATAACATTGTCTAATGAAAAGCCCCTGGATAGAGAAAGCAGGGACTACAATTCTAAAGCATTCTAGTTCCACCTAAGGCTAGGTGTGTGACTTGTGAAAATTAATGAGTTAATTAATTAAAATAGTTATTAAATACCTACTATGAGTCAGGCAGTATGACTGGTGCTGGAGATATAGTGGTCATAGCATAAATTGCTCCTGTTCACCAATAGCCATGTTCTCCTTTGCTCCCTAGACACACAACTGGACTACATTTACTGGCCTTCCTTGCAGTTTGCTGAGATTATGTGACTTAGGTTTTGGCCAATGGAATATGAACAAAAGTAAGGTTCTCCACTCTCAGGTCTGGTTCATGGAAACCTCCCACCAATGATCATTTTCTTGTTCCACAACTACCAGCTAAATTTGGAGCCCTTCAGAGAAGCAGAGGAAAATCTAGCCACAGATAAAGACTTGAGTGCTTGAATCCTGGGCCCACATTGGACTGTGATATGAATGAGAAACATTCTTATTGTGCTGTAACTGAGATTTGGAAGTTTATTTGTATTATTTACAAATAAATATCAATTAGTTAGTTTCCTTACCTAATAAAGCAGTGAACAAGACAGGCATCCCTGGCATTATGGAGCTGACAAGCTCTTAAAAATGAGTAATTAAATAAGTAATTGTAACATAATGAATGTTAGGGCAGTGAAAAGACAGAAATGGCAGCAGATAGCAGGATGACCTAAGCTAATTGGCGAGTTAAGGAAATCTTCTCAGAAAAGGTGCAGGTATGGTGAGACCTGAAATAAGGTGGATTGGTCCGATCAGGCTGCCATAACTAAGTGTCACACACTAAGTGGCTTAAACAAACTTATTCTCTCACAGTCCTGGAGGTGAAAAGTTCAAGATCAAGGTGTTTGTGGGGTTGGTTTCTTGTGAAGCATATCTCCTTAGCTTGAAGGTGGTCATCTTTGTTCAATGTCTTCCCTCTTTACATGTCTGTGCCCTAATCTCCTTTCCTTATGGGAACACCCATTATATTGGGTTAGGGTTTACCCCTATTATCTCATTTCACCAAAATTACCCCTTTAAAGTCCCTATATCCAAATACGGTCACATTTGGAGGTATTGGGGAGTAGGGTTTCAACATGTGAGTTTTAGGAGAACACAATTCAGCCATAACAGAGGAGTAAGACTTAGCCACTTACTAGAGTGAAGTAACTCCACTAGAGTGGAATTTTAGGGAAACACAATTCAGCCCATAACAGACGAGTAAGGGTTAGCTGGTCAAATAGATAAACTTCCTGACTATGAATACAGTGAGACCTTGGAGTGCAGGCTCCCTTTCTGCAGAACTGATTGACACCTTGTTACTTAAAGGGCAGACACTTAAAGGGTTAAGCTGACCTCAGGTTCTCTATCCAGTCCAACGATGCCAGCTGGCACAGGGAAGGCAGGAAGATAAGAAGGAAGCTCAAATTTCCAAGGGGCAAGGTGCTGAAGCTATTCAAGTAAGTATTCAGATTGCAGCCTGACAGTAGTGCTTTGATTACAGATTTGGAACTTGAGATATTATCAATCAAATTGTAGGAAGGTAGGAAGCAGCAGCATACCTTGACTCTCTGGAGATGAGACAAGATTGACTGCAGCTGTGGTTTGTGGACTTAGCATCTACATGCGGGCTGCTACGCTTGCTAAGAAATCCCAAAGGGGTTTTTAGAGGAAAGATTGGCTCCAGAAGTCAGATCACAAGAGCAATAGCTACCTGGCCATATGCAGGGATTGAAGATCAATGGGTGAAAGATCAATCTGAATAAATGAGCTATTAATACATACAACAGGTCCTCAGCAATTAATCTCCAGGTGGATGACAGCCCACCAGTTACAGTGATCTGCTGATGGTGATTGACGTAATGGGGTCGTCTGCCGTGCCAGGCTGCTGAGTTAGTGATATTCACATTTATTTTCTTGCTTGGATTGAATGGTTTCTGGGGCAATCTGGAATTTGGTGCTGAAAACGTACTGCTCAGAAGACCAAAATAGTTTATTCTCTAAGAGTAGGCAAAGCTGAGCAGATCCAGGACCAAGTCTGATTTACTGGAAAAAAGGAGAGCAGCCTTTCTTTTCTCCCAGATGATTAGACCTTTGTAATATAGAGCTTGGTAAAGGGATTTGGAGAGGTTGCATAGAAATCAGGAATGTCACCACACATTTTAGGGCTGCCATTGAAAATGAAAAGAACTGCATTTCTATGAGAGATATGCACTTTAGGTTATTTTCTTTTGTCTTGGTTCTTTCAGAAGAATACCATGAACTAACTTCTGCTTCCAAAATACATGACTCCACACTTTTGGTCTTCAAAACCTGGAATTTTGAATCTCTGTCTAGTGACTTCCTGCACATTCTTCAAAGCCCATCTCATCACATCATAGACTCCTCTAAAAGATCTTCCCCAGGTGCTTTGATCCTACCCCCAAAACACTGTGTATCCCAATCCATTGGCCATGCCACCCCCACCGTCTTAGTCCAAGTCACCATCGTCACTCACTTGCATGACTGCAGAGGCCTTCTGCCTAGTCTGCCTCTTACAGCCTTACCCTCTACAATCTAGTCTCCACACAGCAACCAGAATTAATTGTTTTCAATCTATATCTGTATATATTACTATGATTACTCTGAGTGAAGTTCAATCTAACACTGACCATGGCCTGAGCAGCCCCTGCTGAGCCTATACCTTCACCCCTTACCAAACACATCTGATTCCTGCTACACCAAAAAGAGGTCAGATTTATCCACGACATGTACATTTGCTGTCCTCCTTCCTTATCATCCTCTTCTCCCAGTCCCCACAGATCAGGTCTTCCTATTATTGTTTCCTCATCACTTAGGTCTCAGCTCCTCAAAGAGACCTCTCTACACCAACTCACCAAAAGTAATTCCTACTCCCCCCTCCTTAGGCACCACATTGCTCTGTTCATTGCCTTCACAGCACGCATCACTATCTGGAATTATAAATTTTTAAAGTTGTTTATTTTATGTTTTTCCCTACTCATATGTAAGCTCCATAAAAATAAAGATGTTTCCTCCGGGTTTATTTCTATTTCTCCAACATGTAGGAGAGTACCTGGCCCATAGCAAGTGTTCAAGTATTTCTTGAATGAATGAATGAATGGCATGGTCGATTATTGGCTCATCTAAATTTCCATAGTATTCTCTTCCCATCTTTGTTAAGACATTCAGAACATTGTAGAGTAGGGATTTGTCAAAATCTCTTGCTCTCTTTCTTGATTATGAGCTCCTTAAAGAAAAGGATGTGTGGTACGAGACAATACACGCTAAAGCAGAGAACACAATATTACCCATGGAGTTGGTACTTCTCAAACTTTAATGGGTGCACAAATCACCCAGGGGATCTTGTTAAAATGTAGTTTCTGATGCATAGTCTGAAGTGGGACCCAAGATTCTGCATTTCTAACAAGCTTCCAAATGATGCCAATGCTGCCAGTTCTTGGCATAGTTTCAGTAGGAAGGTATTCTTTTTTGAGTGGATGCTTTAAAGTATTGTGTTTTTTCCCTTTCTATTTTCTACAGAGCCCCATAGAGCACTTCTATGGTGAATGTAAAATATACATTGAATTAGTATATATTGCATGAATGCATACATGAATGAATGAGTCAAAAACCCTCACACTCAAGGAAATGAAACTGAGTCATACAGAGTTAAGTAACTTACCTAAAACCTCACGACTAGCTAAGTCTGGTCTAGAATCCTTGTCTAAGTGCTCATTAGTCAAGTCCTTCTCATTCCAGCTGTTTCCTAGGATTGAGGTTTAGATGTTTGAGGCATCAAGGATGAGTTGCTAAGTGCAGAGTAGCTTCCTACCCTGTAAGTGTCAAAGAAGGCTGGTGGGAGCACCCATAGGAGAAGGGGCCATTGCTTGGTGACTAACCAGCACATTAATACCCTGCAATCTGCCTGGGTTTACATGATCTGCCCTTATGGAGAAGTGTCATCTAAGGAACCTTTCCGTTTCAGGAAAACAGAAGTCATTTCTTCTTGGCAGAATCTGTCATGTTCACAGGACACATAAGCCCTAGTGCTGAAAAGGGCCAGCTAGGTTCTAACTGAGACCTGTGAGAGAAGATATATAGTTTTGTGGGGCTGGAGAAAAAATTATCATGACCAGAGATTTGAGGGTGAGGGGCAGAATCAAAGGGAAGAGGTCCCTGCTACATTCCTCCCAGAAGGCTTGGAAAGCAGGAACTGCGATGCAGGTTCAACCTCTGCTCCAAATTAGCACAGAATGTTTCCACCTGGGCAGATGGACCCTTAATTCAACCCATCTAAAAGCACTGAAGCCAGTTGGGGGTTCCCCATACAGAAGTACACACCACATGCTCCTACCAAGGGTTCTGCCTGAAAAGAACCCAATTCTGACTGGAAGGCAGCTAAGCACAAAGAATAGCCCAGGAGACAGATGTGCACAGTTGTTCATATTCCCCCAACAGCAACACAGGAATCAGCCTTAGGAAAAGAATATGGAACACAAAAGAAGCATATGTTTGCAAAACCCCAAACCAACTTGTAGACTTTTCCCAACTCTCTCCATCATCATTATTTCCATCCACATTTGTCCTTCCAATCAGTCATTTAGAGTGGTGTCCAGCCACGCTTACAGGGGCAGCTCAGGAACCAACCCTTCCTAGCCTGCCAAGAATTGTATTGTCTCCTGCTTCCACCACAAAATTGGAAAGAATCAAAGGATCAACATGAAGAGAAGGTTCGCCAGCTATTTTGCACCTTTGGTGTAAGCAGAGTGATAAGAGCTAGTTGTCCATGCTGCATTTCCGTCAAATAGATAAACTTCCTGACTGTGAATACAGTGAGACCTTGGAGTGCAGGCTCCCTTTCTGCAGAACTGATTGACCCCTTGTTACTTAAAATGTGGTCCAGAAACAGCAGCAGCTGCATCACTGGGAAAGGGCAGAAAAAGCAGGATCTTATCCCCCATCCCCAGGCCTCCCAAATCAGAAACTCCACATCAGCAAGATCCCCAGGTGATTCGTGAACTTGCTGAAATCCCAGACACTAGATCCTCCTCCAACTGGGATAATAACTACTATTCTGGCCAAGGACAAAGAGATGAGCTAATGAGGATTCAAGCTCCCTGGGATTTTCTCACTGAAATCCTTTTCTCCCCCACCCTGATTAGATGTCCCTCGCTGCACAGGAGCAGAACCTGCATTTATGCTTTATCCAAAGGACACAAATATTTAAATTCTTAGGCACAGACATCAGGTAAGTAAGATAAGCTCAAAATTTCCCCATGCATCAAAAATAAAACCAAGAATGGCTTCTTTCCTTTAAGGGAAGAGCAGAATCTATTGTGTCTTCCCCCTTGCTTTCTCACAAGCATCCCATTCAGCTCCATCTTCCCCATATTTTCCCTCTTCCCCTTTCTGCCCCTTTCCTCGACTCAGAAACGTTGCTGGCAAAGAACCCTGGCAAGTCATAGGAAGGAGTTTCCGTGCCTCTAAGAGTTTGGTTGAATGGTTCAGACCAGGAAGGAGTCCTCCCTGCCTCCAACTCTCCAGATGGCTTTCAGAAGCTGGTCCCTCCTTTCCATGTGTTCCCCCAATGTTGCCCTTTTTCTGCCGGAGGCTGCTCCAGAGCTCTGGGCTGTGTGTGAGTACATTCTCCTGTCATTGAGAGCACTTGCCCTCCCTAGCGCTCTGCTGCCTTTAACCCCTCTCTTTCCTGGCTGCACACCCCTTCCTCCTCTCCTTGGGGAATCAGAAATGGCAGATGTCAGCTTGGTGTCTGAGGCATCTTCACAGGTGAGTGCATATGCTCCAAGCTGGAAAGAATCTCATTGGCCACCCCTTCATGGACTGAAATTATACTCCATTAGGGGCTATGAGGTGTAGTGAGAACCAATCACACTGCCTGGAGTTCAAGTCCCAGCGCTGCCATTTAATATTTGCGTGGCCATGAGCAATCATTTGATGCAATTTGTTTTTATTCTTCAGCTGGGAATTAGAGATAATCATACCCACTTTCTAGGATGATAACTGGCACATAGCCTATCAGTTTTCCTGGGTTCTGCTCCTTGCCAAAACTCCTACTGGTTGACTGGGTGCTGGGTACCATTTTATTTTGTCAGCACTGGTTCTGAGTATGCAGGTGACGTACCTCACCCTTTGCTCCTCCACATCCATGGGCAGCCCTTGGTTCCAAAGACTAGTGGTCAGTGCACCTGCAGGCTCCTAGAAGCGGCTTGTCCTTGTCTACGTAAAATCATTCTGGAAATTTAAACCCTTCACTGATGAAAGAATTAACTATTGCCATTGTTAGAAGCTTTGGGACAGGAAGGACTCCCAGGAGACAAGGACACACAGCCATCTGCCCACAGCCAGGTTGCTCACTTAGGTGGCTCTATCTTTTGTTCAGTGTTTAGTGACTACTTGACACTTTCTTTGTTGCAAATAAAACCTGAAGAAATCAATTGCGATTGAATTAGTACTCTACGTTAAACTGAAATAATTATTGTGGTCTTTTAATCAGAGATTCATTTCAAAAAAAAATAAAAATTGTAAGAATAGTTATATAACAGTTTCTTTCCCCAGGGAGGCTTTGACTTGATGCTCTCAGGAGATGTGAACCCAACATAACAATTTTATTAGCTCTTATTAAAGCTTTGATACATGCACTTCAAAGAAGTGGTGGTTCTCCTTTTCATTTGAAGTTCAGAAATCTTTTCCTGCATTTGGGCTGTCTGGAGGGGCAGTTGCTTTCTGGAGGTCTCAGGGCTGAGATCTGGAACACATAGAACTTTCAGACAACCCCAATCCTCCCTAGAGCAGTTTATTTTCCTTTCCCCATCTGCTTCTACAGAGTTACAGGGAGTGAGGAAGCCGGGGGACAATGTGAACAGTGGCTATGGGAGTCAAGGCCAAGCACCATTTGGTGGTTAGGAAAGCTTAACCCAGGGAATGGGTTCAGAATCTCTGAGTTGGAAGCAAGTATGGAGATCTTCTGGTCTATCCACCCATTCTGTGCTAGAATCTTCTTACCAGCATCTTGATTCTCAGGTGGTCACCTAACCTCTGCTTTGAAGCCCACGAGTGATCAGGAGCCGGCTAACTCAAAAGTTGTCTTATCCACATATAGATACCTCTAACTATTGAAAAAATAATATTCTTTACATTGAGTCAGTATCTGCTTCCCTGTCACACCATTCATAAGTTCTGCCCTCTAGAACACAGTGGAATTATCCCATTCATCTTCTCCTTGAGATGCTTTCAAATGTCTAGGACAGTTGTTATTACTTCCCCAACTGTTCTTTTTCTAAATGCACTGTCGACTTTCTCAATCAATCTTCAGTTGACAAGATGTCCAAACACTTTTCAGAGTGGTCTTTGTTCTTCTATTTGTTAATATTTCTTGTAAACATGGAACCCAGAACTGACTACAGTGCTCTGATGATCTCCTCTCCAGCAGAGGACAGATTGCTCTGAAGATAAGATCCTCTTAATAGATATGGATGGATAGATAGATAGATAGAGTATATAACATTGTTATCTATTAAATTAAAATGTATATGTATTAAAATTAACATTTTTATCCATTAAAAGGAATGGCAAAAACCGCAATTACTTTTGCACCAACCTAATACCATGTTGGCCTGGTAGAGTCTATGGTCAGCTAAATCCACTCAGATATTTATGAAGTGAACTACCCTCAGACCAATTCTTTCTCATCCTCTTTTTGTGAAATCAAGCTTTCTTTCAAACCTAAAACCAAGATTCTGCGTTTATCCTTGTTAAATTTATCTTGTTAGTTTCAATCCATCTTTCCAGATAGCAAGCTCTTTTAAAACTTGTTTATATCATTTGTCACATTAGCTGACCTCTGCTTTGTGTCATCACAAATTCGATAAGCAGATGGTCAATGTTTCATTCAAGTCATTGATAAATACTTGGAACACGACAGGGATAGGAAAAACAAAAACCTATAAGTTGATACTAAACAATTTCCTCTTTGTTGATAACATTCCAGAGATCGACTGTCTTTGAATGGCATTGTCCTAATAGCTGCAAATACATATACACAGCCTGTATTTTCTAGGTCATTCTGGAGGCTATTGGGGAAATGTTTTCATAGGACTTACACTATTGCCATTCTCTATGTCTACACTACCTGCCCTACCATCACCACCCTCCTTCTGCCAGTCTAGTAAAGATGTCAAAAAAGGAACTGAGGTGGCTGGGCGTGGTGGCTCATGCCTGTAATCCCAGCACTTTGGGAGGCCAAGGTGGGTGGATCATGAAGTCAGGAGTTCGAGACCAGCCTGGCCATAGTGAAACTCCGTCTCTACTAAAAACACAAAAAATTAGCCAGCCGTGGTGGCATGCATGGTAACATGTGCCTGTAATCCCAGTTACTCAGGAGGCTGAGGCGGGAGAATTGCTTGAACCCGGGAGGCGGAGTTTGCAGTGAGCTGAGATCACACCACTGCACTCCAGACTGGGTGACAGAGCAAGATTCTGTCCCCAACCCCCCCCCAAAAAAGACTCTGTCCACCCCCCAAAAAAATAAGAACTGAGGTTAATTGGCATGTCTTGCTTTTAGAAAATCATGGATGCTTCTAGTGATCACCTCTTTCTTTTCTTACGTGTTCATCGACCAGCTTCTTAATAACATACTCCAGCATTTTTCCAAGAGTGTATATCAAGATCACAAATCTATAGTTTTTATAATTCCCCCTTTGTGAAACTGAGGACAGCATTTGCTTATTAGTCTTCCTTATGAATTCCGAGGATAGTATAAAGATTGCCCAAGAACATATAATAATGCATTAAATTCAGAGTCCAAATAATTGATAAATACGCATTTTTAAAACTTATTCCTTAGCCAAAGAGAGAAGCAGAGCCTAAGCCTCCAAGCATTCTTCTGAACACTTTAAGGATTTATGATCTGGGCCCGACTGGCTACTGGAAGACCTAGGATAAAGGTAGAATCCTGGCTGTATCTCCAACTAGCGATTCCTTTCCCTAGCCTCACTGTTCTCATCTATAAAATCATGGAATCTATTCTAGTTCTAAGTTTTAATGACATAAGAGGTTAGTTGCTAAGTGTGACCAGACAGGTAGCTGGCTTTACCTACGAGGTCCGATTCCACCACCCCCACCATCACCCCTTTTTGGAGGATCTATACAGCTGTAAGATTTTCATTTATCTTCTGGGCACAAGCCTGCACACACACACACACACACACACACACACACACTAGCATAAGTTGTTTCATAAGTTGTTTCTCTTTCTGTTGCATCCAGTTGATGAGAATAAAGTCCATTGTTTTAATATTAAATCTATGTTATAATGAATCTTCTCTAGGAACAGCTTGTTTCAACATCATCTGTCAAGAATGTATTACTAATGCCTTTTAAGACTTTCTTTTTAATATGTTACTAGAGAACATCACTGGACCTAGATAATATTTATTAAATATTAGGAACATTGTCAAATAACTTCACAAGAAAGTAAGGTTTGAGGGGTTTGTGTATATTAACATATATGTATATTTTTAAGAAGAATAATAAAACCCAATGTGAACAGAAATAGCTTGTGATATTCTGTCAAATCCAACACACCCTATTTATGTTTCCTGAGACATTCCAGGGCATATCTGTTTATCCAACCAGGACTGCAATAAGCAAAACAGAAGAAAGCTAGAAAGCCTTGAGAAAGAAGACAAAGCAGACCGTTCCTCATTTTCTGACATAGAGAAAGTGAAAATAAACATATAGCACCAAAAATGCAATGTAATTGTCTAGTTTTTGGCAATTTTTACTTTAACGTAATCCCAGGCTCATACTTAATCAACCTGTGGCTGAAAGATCCTTCAGATTTAATAAGGGATGTCTCAGGACTTCCCTCACCTCATGTCTGAGACCTTCAGCAGCATATTTTGGGGTGCTCTGAGAGGATCATTATTAAGTTCATTAAACCTCAGATCTGACCCAGACTGACAAGGTCTCTTCTGATCTTCTAAAGTATTCATACATGAGACCTGGTTTCTAGTGACAGGCCCACCGACTTTTCCTGCTATAACTTCAGACCTGGCACAACGTACAGCTGACTTTTGTGGGTTGAAGAACCTCACACATCTATAGTCCTATCACACACACATTTATGTATGTGTGTGATACACATACACACACATAAACAGCACTACCAAAAGGCTGCTGTCAAAGAGAAGATTAACAGAGAGGCTATAGAATTTAACCCAAAGGGTTAGGAAGACCTGCCTCTATCACATTACAACATTTCAACCTGTATATACCTAACCAAAATTTAGACATACCCTCTTGATGGGACTTAATTCCTAAGCATTTTAATTTGAAAAAACTGTGACGTAAATGCACAGTAGATTTTATAGGGGTCCTGCATCCCCTCACCATGGCTCCAGAGACCTTTGATAAATACCTGAGGAATATTTAATATGCAAAACACTTCATTATACTGAAAGCCAATATGATGGAGGGTTGGGGTATGTATGCTCTGAAACAAAGCCCCTTGGATTTAAATACTATCACAGCCACTTTCAAGCATCTCTGTACATCTGTTTTCTCTGCCATGAAACAGGGCTACTAATAGTACTATTATAGAGACCAAATGAGTCAGTCTCCATAAAGGATAGGGAATGATGCTTGCTTAATAGTGAGTATTCAAAAAATGTAAAATTATTTTTATTGTTATTTTGGAGATGGAGTCTTGCTTGCTCTGTCACCCAGGCTGGAACACAATGGCGCAATCTCGGCTCACTGCAACCTCCGCCTCTCGGGTTCAAGCGATTCTCCTGCTTCAGCCTCCCAGATAGCTGGGATTACAGGCGTGCACCACGACCGCTGGCAAATTTTTGTATTTTCAGTAGAGACAGGGTTTCACCATATTGGACAGGCTGGTCTTGAACTCCTGACCTCGTGATCTGCCCACCTCGGCCTCCCAAAGTGCTAGGATTACATGCGTGAGCCACTGCCCCTGGCCCTTTTTATTCTTTTAACATGTATGTTAATACACACAAACCCTTAGTTTGTAGGATCTGGGCTGGTTGATCCTGCCCAAGCTGTGTTTTCTGTTGACACCGTGGCTAGCTTGACAATGCACTACCTTGTATTTGATTTTCTTCCTACCCTGTCTCAGTTCATTTTTACCTCAGTCGTGCTTTGCTGGGATTGCCCCTTCCATATACACACAGGAAAGCATTTGCAATAAGTTTTACCACAAGATCTATTTTCCACAGAAGCGATAAAGACTCTAGGATTACCAAGGCAGTAACCAGATAAACTGGCCAAGCATTATTATGCATTTGAATAGAAAACATTAATATCTGTGATTGAAATCTGAACAATTATCAAAGGCAATGAGCAGCAATTTGCCTTAGACTTGAAGGTTAAACTGGAGACCAGTCTAGAGGACAGGCTCCACCTCCAACCTCCTTGCCCCACAGCCCCAGTGAAAACTGCCAGAAGAAAGTTTAGTTCAAGATTAAGAACGCCTTCTCCCTGATGTAATCCCGGAGGTGCCAGGTAAGAGTGAGGCTGCTTTCAGGGAAGCCCCTGGGACCAGAGACAGAAGACTGCCCTGTGAACCGAGTCTGTACTGCAAGAAATAAGAAGCTCCATGAATTGGTGGCTTACTGAATCCGTAGAGATTACTCCTAGGTCATGGGATTCGAGGTCCACCAAGGAGTAAAATATAATACACGGAAAACAGGAGTCTTTGCATACCTGAACTTCTTGATCCAAGGTTGCATAAAGTGGATTGCTTCTACTCTCCACTCAATGCAGGACAAAAACTATTGGTGTAGGTCCTACCTACCTGTCCTGAATTTGGCTCAGGAACTGGAGTGGGACCCTTCACTAGACGAACCTGTCTGAGGAAGGGAAAAGTAGCAAAAGGGACAGAGACTCCTAGATCAAGTTTGCACCATGAAATCCCTGATGCTCCAGAAAATGTTTCTGCAACCCAAATGGTTGCCTAAGCATCTTCATGGTAAAACACTAAATATGTGGGATTTCTGAAGAAAAATAAAGGGAAGGGCTGTGGTTTCCAGAGTTTTGTCTGATGTTCAACCCCACCGTCCTCTGGGTGGAAGCAGCAGAATGCAGATGGGAGCAAACACCAGCAGCGAGGATCATTTCTCTTTCCACCTCCTCAGTTTGCCTTGGGCGGTTTATTCTCATTGCATCTTCCTGCTTGTCCTAGACCAGCCTTACCGTGGCTCACGCCCACACAGGAAGAAAATAAAGAGCCCAGGTATTAAGGCCAAGGACTGCGTCAGCAACTGGAGTCCTTATTGCTACTGCCACGCATCTGTGTCTCTGCTTCCCCTTCCTGGTTCTATTTATCTCTGAACTTTAGTACATTGACTGGTTTCTGGGATTTGAAATTACCTTCTTCTTTGTATTTTTTGTATCTTAGTTCTTTTCCACTTGACTGGCTGTGGCCCTGGGCTTTCCCCTTGCCGTCTTTTGTCAGGAATCACCTGACTGTGTCTGATTCATCTGATTTAACAACCTTCTCCCACCAGGTATCAGCACCTGAATTTCCACTCTGACCCTGGGCTCCCCAACATACACACACACACTCCAGAATGATAAATGACCCATTTTGTGACAGAGTTTTTCTTTTATTTCTTTTCTTTTCTTGCTTTTATTTATTTATTTATTTCGAGACGGAGTCTCGCTCTGTCGCCAGGCTGGAGTGCAGTGGCGCAATCTTGGCTCACTGCAATCTCTGCCTCCTGGGTTCAAGCAATTCTCTGCCTCAGCCTCCCAAGTAGCTGGGATTACAGGCGCCCGCCACCTCGCCGAGCTAATTTTTTTGTATTTTTAGTAGAGACAGGGTTTCACCATCTTGGCCAGGCTGGTCTTGAACTCCTGACCTCGTGATCCGCCCGCCTCGGCCTCCCAAAGTGCTAGGATTACAGGCGTGAGCCACTGTACCAGGCCGTGACGAGTTTTTAAAGAGACAAAAATCATCTAATTCTGTTCATGAGTTTTCAAGCTAGATCTATGATCCCCATCACAGCATGAGTCGCAGAGACAGCTGAGCTATACCCAGGGCTCTTCAGCACATAGGTTCTTTGGTGAGAGAAGTCCTAAGCAGTGCTCCTTGACCCTGCTGGTGTCCAGCGGATTTATCCCCAGCTCCCTCGACTCTGTTACCCAAACATCAGGAGCCCAGAAACCTCACCTTACCATCCACAGTAAAGGAGACGAGAAATGACACTGGGAAGTGGGTGAAATCAGAGAGGGGAAAGTAAATCCAAGCTGTCTCAAGTCTCCATTTGCACTAGACCCCCATCCCTTCCCCTGCATCTAAGCCCAACCACTGCTGCAGGCAGATTCTCACTGATGAGGCAAAAAGTTGTTTCTGGAGCCACCAAATTCACATTACTTAAGCAAGATTGAACTGTTTAAAATTTCAGTGTTGTCCGCCAAAAAAATAATAATAGGTAGTTGTATAGAGTGGAATATGCTGACAGCAATAATGTTTCTGTAATAATTCATGTATAGTAGATGATGTTCTGGAAGTCAGCCCAGCAGGCTAATGCAGATTGGGAATGCTGTCCTACTGATGGCCAAATGATTGATTGGCACTTCTGCTCCATCATGAAATCGGCTGGCAAATGAACTGGAGGTGGTTCCAAAGGAGGGAGATGAAAGAGGAAAGTGGGAATGAAGGGTAGTGTGCGGTACTGCACAGGGAAGTTGAAGTAGAAAGATCAAAGGAAGCATGTTCAAGCTCAGTTTCTAATCTAAGCCAGCTCCCATATTGATATTATGCTATAATTTTAAAAAGCTGACCATGCAATAAAGGGGGCGATATTTACCTATTCCCTGTATCTTCCACTTTGGAAACAGATCTGCCTCCCTAAGAAATCATCTGCTTCTTTCCAATTGTTCTGCCAATAATATCCTACAACCAATTAGCTCTCCCCCTGGTGCACATAGAACTGAGTGTTTATCTGCCCCATCCTCACTGGTAGATGGGCCATTGGCTCTCGATGTCAATGATTAAGCCTATCTATTTCCTCAGGTTGAATTCACCCTGCCATCCAGGTTGCTTTAGGGCCTTCTTTGCTCGTAAGTCAGAAAAGGAAAATTTACTTCAGAATTAAAATCTACACAGCATAATTAGATAAGAAATATGCTGCCCCATAACTATGTAATGCATAACAAAGCAAAATGGAAATAAGTTGATAAATGCTACATGGTAACTTTCCTGAATTTAATGTGGATCATTGAAAGACCAGATTTCCAAGTAGATATCTTCAATATTTTGTGATTTAAGGGAAGGAATCAAAAAGAGAGAGAGTTACAAAGGGCCTACCAGGTGCCAAACACAGGACTGTGTACTTATTACATATATTTTCTCACTCGACTTCCATGACTTGTTAAACTCAGTAGTGTTACTGTAGATAGGTTACTAGTTAAACGCATTGCTCAGTGCGGTCTCCATTGGCCACATGTGACTATTCAGCACCTGAAATGTGACTAGGCCAAATCGAAATGTGTTGGAAGTGACCAAATATACCATGGATCTTGAAGAGCGGGCATGAAAAAAGAATGTAAAATGTAAAACATCTTACGGATAACTTTTATAAGGATGGCACACAAAAAGATATTTTGGAAGTAAGGGTCAAGTAAACTAAATATATGATTAAAATTAATTTCACCTTTTGTTGTGGTGGTGGTGGTGGTGGTGTTTGTGTTAGTGTGGCCTGCTTTCAAGTCCCCACTTACTCTAAGCCCTTTAATTTCATGGTCTCTTCGTCCTTCGAGAGAAAGTGGGAGAAGCAGAGAAACAGCTTAACTACTTATGAGCTATTTCTCTTTCAGTAAGTTATTTAACTGCTCTAGTCTTTAGTTTTCTCATCTGTAAAAGGGGCTTGGCCGGGCGCGGTGGCTCACGCCTGTAATCCCAGCGCTTTGGGAGGCCGAGGCGGGCGGATCACGAGGTCAGGAGATCGAGACCATCCCGGCTAAAACGGTGAAACCCCGTCTCTACTAAAAATACAAAAAATTAGCCGGGCGTAGTGGCGGGCGCCTGTAGTCCCAGCTACTTGGGAGGCTGAGGCAGGAGAATGGCGTGAACCCGGGAGGTGGAGCTTGCAGTGAGCCGAGATCCCGCCACTGCACTCCAGCCTGGGCGACAGAGCGAGACTCCGTCTCAAAAAAAAAAAAAAAAAAAAAAGGGGGCTTAAAAATAAATAACTTGTAAGATTTCTGTGATAATTAAATAAAGTGATGTATATGAAGCAATTATTACCATGCCTGGGATATAGTACGCATTCAATAAACTTGCGTAGTTATTTCTGCCTGTCAAAAGAAGTGGTTTAATCAGATGTTGGTTAGTAGCTCTTCAAACCTGCTATTAAATAATTTTATGCCTATTATCACAGAGGTGGTCATTGAAAAACAAATTATGGATACAGAGGAAGCTTTGCAATAATTATTAATACTGGCTGTTCTGGTGATACGTTTATTGGCACATATCCAAAATATTCTCTGGGGTTGTTTAAGACCTTTTGGAATAGAAGTATGAGGATATCCCAACTCAGATCCAGTTCCAGCTGCTCCCTACTCCATGCCTGGACCATACCACCTGCCACCGGCACCATCCGCATCCAATCCTGAGGCTAAGAATCTTCCCCAGAAGCTTCACTGACCACATCTCCTGGGTGCCCAGGGCCCAGAGATAAGTGTGCTGGGGAATCAGTGGTGAAGACCTCGACACTCATGGTACCTTAGCTGGTGGAAACTTCTGGGGCAACACTCAAACGCTTGGCTAAAGAAAATCTAGCCATGTAAATAAAGCTAAACAGAGGGGATCTTCTTTTCCTGTTAAAAAATGTTATTAGCTTTCCTTTCATTACCGTCTTACAATTCTTTGGAATAAATACTAAATCTTTAACATTGTCTGCATGACCTGATGTGATCTGCCTGGGTCCGCATCACCAGCTGTATTCTCATCTCCCTCTCTCCCTCACTCTGCTCCAGGCAAGTCAGTCTTAATTCAGTCCCTCCAATGATCCCAAGGTCTTTCCTGCCCCAGAGCTCTCGCATGTGCTGTTTCCACTTGCTCCAAACTTTGCCTGGCTTTCTCCTACTTATCCTTCAGGTCTCTGCTTACCTGTCATTTCTGCAGAAAGAGTTTCCTCATCTTTTACTTTCATATCACCCTGATTTTTCCCTCATGCCCTTTATGGCCCTGATCAAAATTTTACTGCTTCTTTTTCTCTCAAAATCACAACTCTCTTATTCTTTGCTTCATCTCCAGCACCTTGCACATAATATATATGCAACCATATTTGTTGAATCAATGCATGCATAGATGAGTAGACAGACATTGGCTGTCCACAATAGAATTCACTATGTATCTCCATTTCCATCATCGTGTTTTCTGATTCCCTTTCTTTTTCACTCCAGACCCTCATGTCTGGAATTCCTTCTCTTTGATGATTCTTTAGCAGGCCCTGCACTCACCCAGCAGGTTGAAGTGATGGATTATTCTCAGACGTGACAATGCAGCTGAGGGAAGAGATGCACAGGACTCACCATGCCCATGGATACTGCAAATTATAACACTGGCTAATAGTTATATAATTTAAAATATGCCAGGCAGTGAATTATGAAAATGGTGTATATTATCTTTTTATCCTTGACATCAGTCCTATGAGATAAGAACTTTAGCTGTCCCCCATTTTGCAGATGAGCAAATTGATACCTGTATTAGGCACTGTGTCTGAAGCCATACAGCAGCTAAGCACTGACACCATTAAAACAAACTTGGCCTGATTCCAACACTCATGCACCTCATCTGGAGTATTCCACCTTTCTCAGCCTCAGGCACCAGCTTTCCCAGTTGACTTTTCTCTGATCCTAGCCCTACCCTATTCCTTCTTAGTCTACCTAAGCTCTGTTCCTAAGGTACAATACCTTAATGGTGATTTCCAAGACGACTCCAAATTTCAGACAGAAGTTATTTTATTCTCAACACTCTGATATTATGGATTGACCAGGTTTTCTGTTTAGTTCTCACATCTAGCATTTCTTTAACTAGATTTCTATAACCCTCTTTCTCTCTCTTTTTTTAACCAACATCAACTTTACCAAGGTCATTGTGCCTCTTGAACTTAATGGGGGAGAAAGGGAGGAACGAAATAGTATTACCGTATTTAGTCCCTTAAGTGTCAGCCACTGCTATAAGCATTTCACATATGTCATTTCATCCAATTGCCTAATAACCCATTAAGTGGTCATTAGAATCCCCTTAATATATAAGATAGGCTCATACCTGTAATCCCAGCACTTTGGGAGGCAGAGACAGGCAGATCATTTGAGCCCAGGAGTTTGAGACCAGCCTGGGCAACATGACAAAACTCTGTCTTACAAAAAATATAAAAATTAGCTGGGCATAGTGGCATGTCCCTGTAGTTCCAGCTACTTGGGAGGCTGAGGCAGGAGGATCGCTTGAGCCCGGAAGGTCAAGGCTGCAGTAAGCTGACACTGTGCCACTGCACTCCAGCCTTGTTGACAGAGTTACACATTGTCTCAAAAAAAAAAGAAAGAAAGAAAGAAAAGAAAAGAAAAGGAAGGGAAAGAAAAAGTACAACATAACGTAGAGCCTTAGAGAAGTTAAATAATGTGCCCAAGATCACACGGTTACTATGTGGTAGACTGAAAATTTCACACATATTTTTCTTTGATTCCAAAGTCATGTTTTCATCCTTTATACACATTGTATCCATAACCCCCAATCTTTCTGCTTTGTCTAGTAAGCCTCACATTCCATTTCTCAGTCTTCTGTTTATTTTCCTTTTCCTATTCTCATGTAGGTTCTCCCATCAGGCGTCTCCATCTGGACAGTGGGTTCTATTTCTATCTCCTACCCTTTACCAGAAAAAAAGACTTGTTTCCCCCTTTTCTTTCTTAAGCAGTGATTTGCCCCATGTAAATTTATGTTTATATGTATGTTTATTCTATTTACATTTACAGAGCAACTACATTTGCATATCTCTTTTCCACAGTCACATTTCACAGAATGTTAACCAAGGCAAAAGTCCTAAGCATGGGGCTAAAGGGGCATTTTATTTAGGAGCTGGTCTTGCTCAAATGCAAATACATTGTCACATATCATCACATTAACAAAAAGTAGGACCCTAAGGAGATGGGACACGAGACAGACCAGGTTTGATAGGATAAGTAGGAACGATGTACAAGGCATGGTTTGTGATAGGCAGCGCATGGATGGGCGGGAAGCACAGCTGTGGGAGGTAGACTGCAAACAACAAAAGAGCTTTGGGAGCCCCAGGACGCTGAAAGAGAAGGGAGCCAAATGAGGTAATGAGCATACTGCTTGAAAAAATGAATAGTGAACTGCAACTTCTTGTTCAAATACCATTACCATTACTTATCTTTTTTTAAAAAAATGTACAAGGGAATTGGAGGAAGATACAACTGGAATGGGATCCTCATGGGAGATATCATTGATCACAGAGGACCTGGGTCACTCACTGAATCTAATCAAGTTGCCAATCAAGAGGACATCTAAGGAGTGTCATGGATCTACCACAAGCAGACATAATTTCTTGGTTTTCTCACGCCACTTAGGCCTGCATCTACACTGATTAGGTGAACATACAAGAGGGGTCTGTTCATATTAGTGAGGATGCCAGGGAAGATCTCCTTCTTGGAGTCTGCATCCTCTAAGCGAATGCTAGCTTTCAAGATGTTTCTCCTGGGAGTCACCCAGATCCTTTCTGTCCTGGATAAAGCCTGTGGGCTTCAAGTTATAAACAAGACAACCAAATTTACTTGTAACCATCATGATTTGAGTTTAGGAGCAAGTGCTGTGTTTGACAAATGTGAGAGAGGTCTTTAGAGACACAATTTGGAGGCATTGATGGGTTATAGGTGCATTTGTGGTCCAGGCATGAATGCCTGGCAGCTCTTGATAAGAGTCATGGCTATATCCAGTTTACAGCCCCACAAAAGGACCCCTTTGGCCCTCTTCTTGGAGCTGCCTGATGTAAAAAGACACACTCTGGTCTGAGCCATTCCTGTGAATACTGTTGCGGTCCCCATTGAGTGGATGCTATTTGTGCGTGA
This sequence comes from Homo sapiens, assembly GCF_000001405.40. Taxonomy (NCBI): domain Eukaryota; kingdom Metazoa; phylum Chordata; class Mammalia; order Primates; family Hominidae; genus Homo; species Homo sapiens. Next base: position 208,303,111 of record NC_000001.11, on the reverse strand, counting down.
CTAGATTCCTTTGAGTGTAGATGCAGCCATCCCTACTGCAGAGCATTTGCCTGACATCATCAACCCACAGCTCCCTTCTTTGCAGAATTGCCTGTGTTGAAGCAGGAGCCTCCTTGACTCTGAGGCCACCCTCTCCCACCCTCTCCAGAGGTACAAAAGGCCAGCGCCTTGTCTCCGGGTGTGTCAGGGGAAACACCCACTACCTCTCCAGCCCCACTGACCCCTCCCTGCTCCACCCAACTCCACCCCTGTGAGCAGAGTGGTGTGACCTGTACTATGCCCTAAGCAGGGACACTCACAGAGGACCCCAGAGGAGGCTTGCTTTCCTCCTTTGGAAAGGAGGAAAGCAAGATAGCTTTTATTCCATCAGGACTGTGTTCTCTGTTGGATGAAATGAGCCTACTCATGAGTTCACCTTCAGAGTTCAGAAATGAATCTTTAACCTGACAAAACCACTGCTATTCTTCATGCTCCTGGAGAATCTGCAGAAAAGAGCAGAGTGCCCATGTCTGTGTGGTAGAGAGGTCAAGCCCAGCCTGAATCTCTTGTGCCCATCACTAAACTGTCCTGACATCTCCTTTAAGGATTCCCTCCTCAGTACAGCTGGGACAAGGGCAGTGAATTGTTCCTTTCCATTAACAGGTATCCTCCTGGACATTCTTCTATGAGACAGGTGATAAAAACAGACTAAGGCAGAAAATCTGGAAAGGACATCCTGGCCACCATCAGATGTACAGTCACTGAGGGGCCAGGTGCTCAGGTAGTAACACCCCTTGCTTCTCCTCTCAAGTCCAGGAGAAAGAAGACTCAGAACACAGAGAGATAGAGATCGAAATATTAGCTTCATCTGTGATATGCTCCACAGCATATTAGGCCTTCCCCCCAAATGGTTTGATAACACTTCGTCCGTGAACTATACATCTTATGGACCTAGTAAGAGACTATGCAGGTCAACCTCTGGCTTCTCATGAAGCTTCCCACTCAGTGGAAAGCAGGAAAAAATGTGTTATCTCTAGAAGCAGGCAGGTTCAAAAGTGAGAGAGAAAAGGCTGAGCTCAGCATTCACCCAAATTCACTAATGAGAGAAATTACTGCTTCTCCCCTGGGGAGGAAAGATGGAGAGATGGAGACAGTGCTACTCTCTTAGTGCTTTTGAATTTTTTCTATTATTACTAAATTTCCCCAGGGTGGGCATTCGAAAATGCAGTGGAGCAGAGTGCAGCCAGCATTTAGTGGGCAAGACCAAGGAAGGCTAACCATCCTGCAATATGAAGGACTGTGCCATATGACAAAGAATGGTTCCACCCCAAATGTCAATAACAACCCTTGAGAAACAGAAGTGCCTCTACATGGAAACACAAGACAAGGAGCATGGAGGCTCCTCTCACCTTCACACATAAACACACACACTATTGATTACCTATAGATTGCAAAGCACAAGACACTCAGCAGAGTTAATCACAGAGAAGCAACACCGGTTTCACAACCTTCAAAAACCCAGGGGACACAGACCCCTGTAGAGCAAGCCATTGTTCCATGCACTTCATCGAGCTCCTAACTCTGGAATTAGATCAGAGGACAGGTGGCCTGTAGACTTTCCTGAGAGGAACACAAAATAGAAGAGCCAGCTTGGTGAGCTGAGGGTCATATGGGCTGAAAGCTGCAGTTAGCAACCTGGGAGTTCCCGCCTCCTTTTCTTCCTTCCCTTTTCTCTTTTCCTTTTCTTGAGGACTACGGCTCTTTTCTGTAAGGGTAATTACTTTTTTTACCTGTCATTGTGCCCAGGACTCTCCCTGTCAGCTCCCTCTGCTTAAAGACCAAAGGTGTCAAAGGAGAATTTCTACTAATGGTAGACTCATGTCTTCACCCCCTTGTTTTTGTTTTCTATCTTCACAAAAGGCCAGTATTCCCTTGGTGTTGTCCTTTAGGGGATGAGGGACCTTAGGCACGTATCCCCAGAATCTTTACCCGCTTATCTGATTCTACACATATTACTATGTCTGGCCATATTAACCAGGTTATAAAAATATCAGGTAGGAGTCTGAAGCTTAGAATTAACGAATGTGATCTATCCCTGCTTATCTGCTGGGGATAGATTCTAAGACCCCGCCCCCCGCAGTGGATGCCCAAAACCACAGATAGTACCAAACACTATATATATATATATATATATATGTAATGCACAAATTTATTTTTCCTTCTTCACAATTTCATGGATAGATTTGTTCTTACAATAGACCTTAGCAACCTCAGTACATGATGTTTTTTTCTTTCCTCATCAAGTCGAGAACTTTACTCAAATAAACATGCTTATTATTGCAACTTGGAGAGGGATGCAACGACATGCAGAGAGAGCTCCCACACATCATTTTCGCCTTCATTTCCTAATCTTATCTACTTTTATTTCATGCCACATGAAAAATGAACAGGGAACTACTTGCTATTTTTGATGTCTTTTCTGTTTAAGTATTCTTCCCCCACCTGCTGCTTTAATGAGAAGTGACACTGTGTTCTTAGAAGAAGTCAGAGCCAAGTTCCACCCATTCACACCAGGCCAGGCCAACCAGGAAGACAAAACCAACACCTGCGGCCCGGGAGAAATGGAGGTGCCAGCTCCTTGTGGAAATGGGGAATGGATCTCATGAAGTCAGCCAACAGACCTAGCACTGCCTTTCCAAATTTCTTAGCGACCGAATGAGACGCTGGCAAATGAAAATGTGTAGATAAAAAGAATTATGGAGACCAATTGGTTTTAGATATTTATTTGCATAACTAGTGTAGAGAGCCTTTCTCAAATGGTCCTCTAAGCCTGGCCCTTGTGTTTTATAATGAACACATTTCACAATATCAGGCCCTCAAACATCCTAAGATCATTTGCTACTCAAGACAAGATTGTGTAAATATTCCATTGCAATCTCTAATAATAGTCACAGTGACAGCTAACAATACTGTCCATTTAAGATGTGCCTGGCCGTGTTCTGAGCTCTTTAGAGACACTGATTCATTTAATCCTCCCAGGAGTGTGTCCATTGTGCAGATGAGGAGATGGAGGCACACAGCAGATTAGTAATGTGGTAGTAAGTGGCAGAGCAAGGATTCAAACTTGGACAGACCAACTTTGGAGCCCTGATACTTAATCACAATGTCACGCTCCCCCTTGCACATACGTTGATCAAGATTCTATTAAAAACAAACAAGCTTAGGCTCGTTTATAACATTAGAGCACTTCTAGAGAAACTAGTCCAGCTGTATGTACTACGCATAAATTTATTTTTCCTTCTTCACAATTTCATGGATAGATTTGTTCTTACCATAGACCTTAGCAACCTCAGCACATGATTTATTTTTTCTTTCCTCATCAAGTCGAGAACTTTCACCTTTTCACTTAAAAGAAGCACGTTAAGGCTTTTCATTGGCATATCCAAATTGCCAGCATCACTACTCTTGCACTTTGAGACCATTATTAAATAAAATAAGAGCCACCTGAACACAAGCACTGTGATACCATGACAATCAATCTGATAACCCAGAGGGCACTAAGTGACTAACGGGCGAGGAGTGTGTACAGGTGGATATGCTGGACAAAGGAATGATCCCCAACCTTGGAGCAGGACAAGGAGAGAATTCATCACACTACTCAGTATGGTGCCAATTTGAAACTTATGAATTGTTTATTTCTGGAATTTTGCATGTAATACTTTTGGACTGTAGTTGATCTTGAGTAACAGAAACTGTGGAAAACAAACCTTAAATCAAATAAGGGGAGACTATTTTATAAGTGGGCAGGTAACATCTATGTAAAAATTCAGCAAAGTGAAGTGGGGCCTGTGGATTGTAGAGTGTGACAGCAGCCTAAAGTTATTTTTTTAAATACTTTTAAAAATACTTTTTAAAACACTTTGCTAATAATTAAAAAAAAAAAAGTCCTTAGGCCAAATTTCAAGAGCAGGACTGCCAATATGGGATTCCTGGTTCTAGTCCAAAATTTTACAGACAGTGAAACTATAGCCCAGAGAGGGAAAGGGGTTTGCACAAGGTCACACATACGCAGTGACAGAAGCAGGGCTGGACCTCAGGGCTCATGGGCCAGCACCTTTCTGCCTATAACACACTAAAACCCATCTGTACCTCTACTTTCCCAGCCCCTTTCCCTCCCCCAGCCCCATCTCTCTTAAGCACAAGCGGTAAGACTTTTATTCTATTTGCAAAGTAAATAGAGCTGAGATACAGATTACTCTCAAGCATCGAAGCTTTTATCCAATATAAACAGAATCAGGATAACTTGTTCCCTCTCACTCCTCTGTCACACATACACACAGGCTCGGTGCCAGCATGCGCATAATTAGCAGATGGCAAATAGAACTCAGGCATCCTGGCCAAACTGAGGAGTACTGTGTAACTCCAACACATGCAAAGAGTGGTATTGGAGATTTCCTCCTTCCTTTTCTCTCTCTGCTGACCCTCCAGCAGAAATAAAGGCTGGATTGTTATGTATGAGGTACCTCATAGGGCAGAGAACAGTGGGCCAGGAGACAAGGTATCTGGGTTCTTTCCTAACCTCTCTGGATCTTAGTTGACTAATTTGCAGTGATGTGAGGAATAAATGGGTTAATAAAAAATAAAGATCTCAAATATGTTACATTTATGTCCCTATTCTTGGCCTTCTGACAGTTTCTCACTAATCAAAGAGAACACACACACAGGTGTGTGTGTGCACACAACCGATTGTACATTCATATCTATGAAAAATAATACACATGGTTGGGAAGTTACTTTTTACAACAATAGAGCTGCCATTATTCTTAGAGTTAACTCATCCTTGAGGATGATATTAGGGGCTCTAACAAATTTATTGTAATTGCAAGGATAGGAAATCTTCACTTTATGTGTGTAGATTGAGTTGATCTTTAATAACAGCCAAAAGTTTTTCAGAACCATGGGAAATAGAGATGGGAAACAAGCCTGGGACATTGGTTTTGAGTATGGGGAGGCAGGGGGCAGCATACTAAAAAGGGCTCAAGATTCTAAGTCAGAAGATCTTGATTGATTCTCTGCTCAGCCAATTACTGGTCCTGAGATTTTAGGTAAGTCTATAACCTCTCTCAGTCTCTATTTCCTCATCTACAAAATGGGGATGATAACAATTTCTTTACAGGATTTTTATGATAAAAAGATAATGTCTGTAAAACAGTTCTCTGGGCCATAAATTTTAAACGGCAACTTTAAAAATTTTTCTTGCAAAAGATGTGGAAAGACTAGTAATTTAAATCTGAAGGCAGTTTCTATACAGGAACTTAAAAGTCATTGATCAATAGGGACAAGAATAATAACATGTCTCCTTATTGTAGAGTTTAGAAGGAGATAACTTTAAATGACCATACTCATATCTATACATTTCATTCATTCATTCATTCCCTCATTCAACAAATGTCCTCTGAGTACCTAGAGGTATTTGGTAGCCAAAGGCTACCAGACTCAGGGAATACTGAGTCAAATGCAATATAGCCCCTTTCCTTTAAAAGCTTACAATGGATCATGACTACACATTTAACATTTATTTTTCCCTTATTTCTTTACTTGATAGTTAGATCTGCTATAACCAAATGACAACTGCAGAGCAACTGTAGAGCTCGCTGAGGCTAGGTGCCTCCCATGTGTCCACAAAACGCTTTGAAAAGTCATTAGGTACTCTAATAATGAATGCCAAAAGAGAATGAACAAGTGAGAGGGTGAATGAGGACCACAGAGAGGGCAGAATGAAGAGTACAAAGAGAAAGTTTAAGAAAGGAAGTGAAGGTGGCACCAGGTTAGAAGTGTAGCCCACAGCTCGTGAGGATTTCCCGCCTCACTGACTCACTGACCCACTCACTGACTCTTCTCCGTTCCCTGGTGCTGTAATCCATATGGAAGTGGGCAATAGCAGTTTTCAAGAGAGTTGTTGTCCCATATAGAGGAGCCACCATTCAAAAATTTTCCTTTAGACCCAATCTGACTTTATTTTAGATGTTCCTGCATCAGCAACAGTGACTTGCTGTAGCCTAGAGGTCATGCAGAAGGCCTGCATGGCCACAGTCCTGTCAGTATCTTTCTTTGAGCCAGTTTTCTCATCTATAAAATAAAGGACTTGAGCCAAATGACCACCCAGGTCCGTTTGAGCTAAGAGATTCTGTGATCCTCTGCCATATAGGAGAGCCCTACGGTGACCTGAAGGAGTTAATTCATCTTGCAGAATGTTTCAAACCTTGCATTAGCATAGGTGAGACACAGAATATAGGAAGCCTCACTCCCCACCCCCTTCTCCAGAAGACAAAGCCGCCCATCATTTGCTTTAATCTGTTTTCTTAATTTTCTTCCTAAGGAAAGTCACAGCTCCAATCAGCCCTCTAATCAATGGCTGCACTACTCCTGCACAAATGAGCTAGATTTATTAAAGGAGTCCTCTCTTCAATGGAAATGGGCTCCCTGCTGGAGCTGCAAATACAGCTAAGATTGACTGCTCCCAGAATAGGTAAAAATGTGAAGAAAATGAAAGCAGGCAACTGATGGGGAATATGGCACCCAAGACCTCTGAATGACTACCCCACCTCCATGACCACGAATGGATGGTCACCAGTGGCAGCTGGGATATTTGCATCCCATATAGGCTGACCCTGGGCAGAGTAACCAGTAGCGTTTCACCAGCAAGCATCCTCTGTTACTTTTCTACACACCCTAGGAAAAGAAGCTCGCCTCAAAAGAGACTAAAGGAGAGACTCTTCCGAGTGGACAACCTCACAGAAGCCAAGAGTTTGTAGGCTGTCAGAGCTGGAAAGAACCCTTGAAGATGGTACACAGCTATGAAATGAAGGGGTGCCCTGTGAAAGGACCCTGATATTTTGATTGATTGATGGTCAGAAGCAGAGGAAATTAATATTTCAAAGCTGTAAGGAATTATTCATATTAGATAAAATTAGATATTTACATATTCATATTTGGGGCTGAGAGATCCTTGTTGATAGGGAGTAGATACCGTATTAAACTTTTAGTTCTACTGCATAGGGAAAAAGCCAATGGGGAGATGCTTGTCACAAAGAAATTTTAACCTGTTTTACAAAATAATGTCAAACTCTGCCTTTACTGTATTTCCGGAAACTACTACTATGTTTCCTTGGGGGTCATGGGGTGGTCAATTTGTTTCCCCCTTGAAACCTCAGCGTAGAATATGAATGAAGGGACTCACGTGATAGGGAGGTGCATGGCCCCATTAACATAAGGGCGAGGGGGGGAGACAGAGAGGAGAAGAAAGGGACAGAGCAAGCCACAAGAGTCTTGTTTTAGAAATAATAGAAGCTAAGTGATCTAGTATCCTGTTTTAAATATTCTATTCCCAGTTACAATTTTCTTCTGTTACCCTTAAACCTTAGTTTCATTCAATGTTTCAGCATGAGAGAGACCAGTCTGGAAAAAAAAAATAGTTACAAGAAGGTAAGGATGATCAGCCATCCAGAGCAAGGTGGAGGTAGAGATGATGAAGATCAACCAAGATGGATTTGTGGAAAATGTAAACATTCCTAGAGACATACCACGTGTGTGCATGCGCGTGTGCACACGCGCACACAACACACACACACACACAGAGCCTTGGAGAAGAGAACCTGGTAGACAGCTTGACTTTCTGCAGTTTGGTGGAAAAGGGGGCTGATATTGATTTTGAGTAATGGAGAATGCAGGGTCACCTCATTTCTATAAGGGACCCTGATGGAGGGTCCAGATGGGGGCATTAAGTCACTTGTCCAGGGTAACGTAGCTAGTTACTGACAGAGCTGAACAAATTCAGACAGAGGCCTTGTGATCCTTAATGTTGAGCTCTGTAACCCTAGACTCAGCCACACCTCTCTCCACCTTACAAAGCCCAGCCAAGTTTCAAGTCACTGATACCCCCTGGAGAGGAAGAGGAGGGAGAAAGATGGGAGAAAGGAGAAGGAAGAGGAAAAGGAAAGGACTAATTCAGTGCTGAGATATATATTTTCTAGAGTTATTCTGGTCACTCATCTTTTTCTTGATCCATTCTGGTTTTGAGACTTGAAGCCTGTTGGAGTTGGAAGGCACCTTAGAGATCAGTTAATTCCCTGGCTTTACAGATGAGAAAAACTTCCCAGAGGAAGTAACTTGCCTGAAATTTCTGGCAACTAACCATCAAAGTGTGTTTGAAAGCTGGTCTGGTACACAGCTATGAAATGAAGGCAGCGAAGACAAAATATAGAAGGTGAATAATGAAGAGGAATTACCCCACAAGAAGCGTGTAGCTCCAGAGGAGGCTGGGGTGTAAGTTTGGAATTAACTGCTGTGTCTTCCCATCCTCCATTCTCCACAAGTATTCCCTAACAAAGCCAGCATTCTTACTCTTTCCTTCCTCAAGCCTCTAAAATAAAATGAGAAAATGGGACTCTCCATCTTATTCTGTCTTGTACTGTCCTGATTTACCTTACGTAAGACTTATTCCCCAAAACTACCAGCTTCTTCAGGGTAGGAATGAATTCCAGGGATTGTACCATACCATATGCTTCTCTATAATAAAACACCCAGCCCAATTTGGCATAAGCAATTCATATTCAATAAATATTTGTTTGTAGGTTAATCTTTGAGAAAACTGCAAAACTTTTCATAGTGCAAATTCTTACAGGGAAAGAATTAAGGTGAGAAAGTGAGACTCAGTTATCTAATCTGAACAATGGGGAAAAATATATTCAATGATATCTTACAATCGTTCCTTCTTATCTGAGACCTGTCATTTGTGGCCAAAATTAAGCTACATATCGAGATACATTCTCATACCTTTCTCCCTTTTCCTGCCATCCCCTGCTCTTTCATCCCACACACAACCTTACAAAAGCCTTGCCATACAGCAGAGCTCAGGACACCCTGAAGCCTTGCAGGCCTCCAGCAGTGACACAGGCAGAAATTTGCCCAGAGCTTGTGAAGGGTGGCTGCTTTTTACTGCCTTTATATTTGGTTCTATTGAAACTTTGTGACTGAAAGAGCAGATCGGGGTTCTGAGTGCATTTGCAGTGGTGGGAGCTGTCAGAGAACTGAGCTTGCTTTGCCTCTTGGGATGGAGGACAGGGAGAGACTGGGCTAAAAGTCAGTGATAGTCACAACCAAAAAACATTTCTCAGGCAGGCGGGAGGGAGGATGAATGTGTCAGTTGCTCACTCTCCCCAATATCTCCTTCCCACAATCTACCAGTTAATTTCCCTCTTTATGTCCATGTAGTAATAAAATTTTACTCATAATATAAAATACCACCCTGAAGTCCTAAGGTAACTATGAGACCTATAAAACTATTTTTGGAAAGCTTGGATTTTAAACTGTCTCTTCTCCTTATCTCAAAACCCTCCAGGTTGAAGAGGGAGGAAGGAAGGACCCACTCAGACTGCCTTCTTCATCAGCTTGGGAGATGGTGACAAAAGACAGGAAAGGTACAAGTATGTTCCTGCCTAACATACCCATTACAAAGCCTTTTGCTTGGCATTATTCAGCCACTTAACCTTTTCCACTTGAAAAGCAGATTCTGAATTTATTCTTTGTCAAGCCAGGCTATAGCTTCACAGCCCTACCAGGGAGAAAATTCATCCATCACCCATCCTTTCATTCGGGAAAATCTAGGTGTAGCTAAAAACAGGCTCCTCTCTGGTCCCCATCTGACCTTCACTCCTAAAAGCCACTTGCTTTGAAGGTGAGCAAGTTCTTATCTTGGAACCAATTAAACATACATACTACCATGACTGGAGAGTTCTTAAAAAGATGTGCACAGGGAGTACCAAGAAAGAAGATGCATTTCAGGATGAATTATTGATCCAGATTCTTCTCAAACACTTACATGGGTACAAAGGTCTAGCATTCCCAGTCAGGGGAGATTGCATCTTGTGCGGTCTTCACAGGGTTAAGAAAGATAACCTCTTTGCTCTAAACCCTTTTATTTGCTGGATGGGAAATGTGTTTACATCTCTGTGTGTCTCCTTTTGTTTGGTTTTCCAAGAAAGCCTGAATCAGCAGATTTCAAGAGAAAGCCAAAACATCTGACAGGCTTAGAGAAATGATGAGTGCCACGCAAAAAATATTAATTGAAAAAAAAAGACCCACTTTTCACTTATATAGCAGTTTTTACCCAGTCTCTAAATAAGTTGTAGATATTAATTAAATGTTGCCATGCATCACTTGTCACTTTCATTTTATTAACCCAAGTGGAAAAATCAAGTTTGATTACTGTTAGAGGTGGGGAAACTGAGGCAATGTGGAAGGACTGATAAAATAGTCAACGAAGAAGTGAAGGGAGCTGTCACCTTTATTTGAACCACTCCAATCTCATTCATCTCATGAGAACTGCCATGGAAATGCCAAACGGAATACAGTTCACTCTAATCCAGGCACCCTCACTCTCATCAGTTGCTATTTTCTTCTTACCCAGAGCTGATTGAGCTGTCTCCTTATGGGTCAGCTTAATGGCCATTACTGGAGTAGTAGTTTTCTATGGCAGTGTAACAAATGACTACAAACTTACAAGCTTACAACAACACACATTTATTGCTTCACAGTTTCTGTGGGTCAAAAGTCCGAGCATGACCTAATTGGGTCCTCTGCTGACGGTCTTATGAGGCTGCAGTCAAGGTGTTGACCAGGCTGTGTCCTCATCTGGAGCCTCAGCTGAGAAAGAATCTGCTCCCTGTTCAAGTGGTTTTGGAAGCATTCAGTTCCTTGCAGCTGCTTTGTGCTGGCATTCAGCCATACTTCTTAAAGGCTGCTCACAATTCCTTGCCACATGGGCTTCACCAACATGGGCACTTATTTCAGCAAGTCAGCAAAGAGAGTATCCTAGAGTCTGACATCAAGACAGAGTCTTATATAACATAATGCAATCGCAGTATGTGATCTGTGGTTCCAGAGAAAATAGCCCGTCCATTTTGCTGTATTCTATTGGTTAGAAGCAAGTTGTGGGTCCTGCCCACACTGGAGGTTAGGGGAATCACAAAAGAGTGTGAATACCAGGAGGCAGGGAATACAGGGGCTACTCAACAGCCTGTCTGCCACATGCAGGAATTTGGAAATAGAAACTCTTCAATACTCTTAAGCTTTCTGGTAAGCTTTGGAGAAGAAAAGGTAAGGATTTGGTTGATTATTTGATATTATCTATCTTGCAGAAAACACAAAGACTCAACACAACACTGAAACCACACAAAATAGGTGTTTAATAAAGATCTCGGGGAGCTGCAGTAGTTTAGTTCATTAATTGAGATCTACAGGATTAATACACTCAACTAGCAGCCAGAAAATGTACAAAAATAGCCACCTTCACATCCCGTTTTTTAGTTTCGGGAAAAAGGAGGAATAAACAAGAGAAATTCAGTTCAATTCAATGAAGATTTATTGAATGCCTACTTTTTGCTCACATCATCCAAAAGCTAGATAAATAAAGGACACTTACAGACTGGAGCAGTGTTTTTCAAAGTGTGTTCCTCAGCTGGATCAGCGTTACCTGCAGACTGTGTGACAAAAGGCAAGCATCTGGGTGCTATCGATCTCAGACCTATTGAGTCAAACTCTCTAAGTGCATACTCCAGTAATCTACATTGTAACAAGAACCAGGGGGATCTCATTCACACTGAAGTTTGAGAAACAGGGGTGGAGCATCACTTGGGACACTTTAATAATATGACCCAGCTGAGGCCCTGTTAGGATGAAGATCCTGGTTCAGCAGATCTGGAGTAGGGCCTGAGATTCTGCATCTTTCACAAGCTACTGGATGATGTCATTGCTGCTGGTCCTCAGAGCTCATCTCGAATAGCAAGAGTAAAAGATAAGAAAGACTGGAGGGACCAAACAGCGAAAGGATCTCCTTACCCAAAGTGACTGTGAATTATGGAATTTTAAGTAATTTAAATATTTTAAGTGAAAATCCCTGAAAATTTTCCAAAGCCAGATGGGGATTACTTTTTTTTTTTTCCACATGGCTTCTTGTGAATTTGGGAAGAAAGTGACGTTTAGGCTTGTGGGGAGAAAAGGCTTGGGTCAGAAGATTGAGTGATGCCCCGGAGTTAGATATGAAGCTAATAGGTACATGGTTAGAGAAATAAAGACACACAGAGGAAGAAGTAAGGGTCCAGGAGAGTGTCTGGGGAGGCTAGAGCTTCGTCAGAGCTAGCTAAAATATCCTGGATAGGGAGAAACCCTCCTTTTAGCAGGACCTCTGGGAGAGATGGGGCACAGAGCATGCTAGTACAGGGTCAGCTAGAGGGAGGGAGAAAAAAGACAACATGAGATCGGAATCTTAACAATTATAGACCAGAATCAACCAAGAGCTTCTGACCAAATGCACAGAGATTAGAGAACACATGCCACTTCCTAGGAGAAGCCTGAGGATAGCAGTCAAGTTGATAAGGGAGATGGCCACCAATTTAGTTTCTCACCAGAAAGAAACCAACAGCAATACATCTCGAAGGCAAGGGTTTGGTTCTGAGCTAGAGGATGGGAGCAGGGAAAATAGGTAGGGTGGCTAGTTAATATTTTAAACTCGAGTCAAGCTAACTTGACTTTGGGAAAAACATCATTTTGGAAGGCCTGAGGCAGTGTGATCTGGAGGAGAGACTGTGGAATTAGGAATCAGGAGATCTGGCTTCTCCTTCCAATTCATTTATTCATTCATTACAAATTTATTGAGTACCTACCTGATTATACACCCTGTGCTAAGTTCTGGAGAATTTAAAATAATAATAAGATAACAAAAATGATATAACAATAATAATGTTAATGATAACATATCGAGCAGTTAATTTGTAATAAGTACTGCCCATATTTACTCTTAAATTTATTGGATACATTAAATATCAGAAGGGTCTATTGAGGTGAGTAGTGCTTTTGTACCCATTTTTTAGATGTGGGAGCTGAGGCGAAGAAATAAAAAGACAATTTTTTTTTCTGCTGTAATGGAACTTACACTCTAACGGTCATGCCCCCAATCTATAGAATGACTTATGGTGACTTTTCAGTCTGTTTCCTCTCCTACAGCCATGGCAGTAATAACTAAAAATGTTAAGAGCTGACTCTAAGTCATAATCCTCATGACAAGCTTATGAGATAATTACTACTATCATTCCCATTTTACAGATAAGGAAACTAAGATTCAAAGAGACTAAAGGGATTTAGACCCAGGGAGTCTGCCTTCGGACTAAGATATAAACTACTGTAAATCAGGGGACTGAACTGGTTAATCTCTGAGCTCACGTCTCTCTGGAATGTCCTCTGACATTCCTGTGCATTCTCTAAATCTCATATAATTTATAGCCTAGTTTTATATCTGAACCAGCTATGTCTGCTAACAGACTATAAGGGACAGGTTGAAGAAAAGGCCACAACCTAAGCTCAAGTTGTGGTACAGAAAAAATCCATTTGGCTTCCATGTGCAGTGGCAGTGGAAAGCAGATTCTAGCTCTCTCATCTGTGGCTGATGGTGCAGGATGGGCTGTGCCCCCATGTGGGCCCAGACCGAGCACTGCATGGAGGTGTTCTATGTAGCTCAGAGACCTCAAGGTGCAGGGAATAATTGACTCTTTGTGAGCACAGGGATTTGTTTCACCACAGATCCAGAAACCTTCCCTGATCGAGATGAACAGGAAAGAATTTAAATTGAGGTCCTGAACTAAAAGGAGAATAACATTAATCATGCTCATTACCGGACTCAGAAATGAATTCATTTTTTCCACAAGGAGTGTTATCAAGCAGGAAATCAAGACCCCAGGTGAGGGAAATGGCAAGGTGCCAGAGAGGGATGGCAGAGGTGTTAGGGTAGACACCAGGGTGGGGCATCTCCAGACCCTATAGAACTTCCTAAGATAAAAAGTCTTCCTAGACCATGAGCGACCTTTTGGCTTATAGAATTGGATGATCCAAAATTTGAGAGCTTCAACTTGTCCAGAGTCAAAGTGGCTCAATCATTCATCCAACAAAAATTTAGTCAATGCCTACTGAGTTCCAGACCCAAAGGATTGAACCAAGAACCAAACAAAAACTGACCATGCCTTTACCAAGCTTATTTCTGGTTACAGAAAATAATTAACGAGCCTGTTAACTATAGATAAAATAATAATTAGGCACAACAGTTTTTGATGGTGATACACGTTATAAAGGGCACACACAGGATGATTTGATACAGAGTGGCAGGGAGGGCGCACACTTAAATATGGTGGGGAGGATCAAGCTCTATTATGAGACAACTTTGGATCTGAGACCTGAAGGATGAAAAGGAATCCACGTACCAAGCGGGGGAAGACAGTGCCAGAAAGAGCGAAGAGCAAGTACAAAGGCCTCTGAAATGGGAGCAAGTGTGGCCTGTCTGAAGACCCAACAGGAAGCCACTATGGTTGATGTGTGATTGGGGAGCCTGTGGGATGAGATGTGTCAGAGAAGAGGCCAGGGCAGGACCATTTCACACGGGGCTTTTTGAGCCATGCTGAAGAGGTAGGCTTTATTCTAAGAGCAAGCAAAGCATTTTAAGCAGAGGAGTGGTTTGATTTGCTTTGTGAAAAAGATCCCTCTGCTGCAGTGTAGAGAATAAATTGTAGGGATCCAGAACAGTGGCAAGGAGACCAATTAGAAGACTATTGAAGTTGTCCAAGTGGGAGATGATGGTGACTTGGATTAAGGTGGAGGCAGGGGGCATGAAAAAAGTGGAGGGATTGAAGAACTATTCTGGAAGTGGAACTGATAGGTCTTGCTGCTGGATTAGGTATGGGGATGAGTACAAGGGCATATGTGTACCTTTATACCATAATTTTTCTGTACTTGAAGCTCTCCTTTGTAAATCCAGTTCAGCTGCATACAATAGAGATGTCCCCATGTATGAAGCACAAGTGACCAGTCTGAGCTTCTCCCACTCCTCTCTCCTGCAGATGACCATGCCCAAAGGTAAACCCCAGGAGGGAGGAGAGGAAGCCAAAGGCCTGAACGATCTACTACCTGGACCTGCAGCCTCCTAGCATAATCAACTTTTTGGCTTGCTTCAACAAGAGAGTAAAACCTACAGGAATCCAACGATGCATAGTGTTGAGGATGGAACACTGGAAGATGGCCATGCCAGTCATCTTAGATTGAGCTCATCCCATCAATGAGGAATGGGCAAGAAAATCAGGATAAACAAGCCAGGTGTGGTGGCTCATGCCTGTAATCCCAGTTCTTTGGGAGGCTAAGGCAGGTGGATCACCTGAGCTCAGGAGTTCAAGACCAGCCTGGGAAACATGGTGAAATCCTGTCTCTACTGAAAACACAAAAAGTATATGGGCATGGTGGCACATGCCTGTAGTCCTAGCTACTTGGGAGGCTGAGGTGGGAGGATTGCTTGATCCTAGGAGGCAGAGGTTACAGTTAGCCAAGATTGTACCACTGCACTCCAGCCTGGATGACAGAGTGATATCCTGTCTCAAAAAAAAAAAAAAATGGAGATGAGCATGCTCTGTGTGTGTGTGCACATGTCTGCACAGGGAAGCTGAGGTTACAGCCGGGAAAGACAGATAGCAGAGGCAGGCTTGCTATGGTCATTAGTTAGAAAGGGTACTATTTGGCAATACTGGATTAACAGTAAGAAAATAAATACATCCAAATCCTAGAGAGTTGAACTTTTGTTGATCTGCAGTATAAATTTGCAAGTGGGGAAGTGGTAAAAAAAAAAGTTTTGACCAAAACATTATTCTATAACCCCAGCTCACCTCACCCCTAGTACCACAAGCCCCCTCTCCGAGCAGCCCCCTCCGGCTAGACCCTGGCATGTTGAAGCCGGGTTACTGCTTCACAGAGGTCAGGTCCTGGGCCAGAGGAAATCTGTGGAAATGCTGCCCCTCTATGCCCTAGTCAAAGCCAATTAGCCTAGGTATGGGGAGATGTAGGTCTTTTAAAACCTTTCTTTAAAAAATATATATATAAACCCAGAGCTAGGCTTTAGTGATCTGCAGTGGGAAACCAGGGAAAATGGAGTAGAACCTTAGATGGGAGAAAAAAAAACAACAACATCACTGAGGAGAGAATGGAAGGGTGCATTTGGTTTGGCCTGTGATAAAAGGGAGAGAGCCAGGAAGAAGGAGGGGTGCCCCTCTGACCCTTCAGACAGGGGCTCCTTCCCCTCAAGCCTTTAAAATCTCCATGTTTTGACAATTACTTAACCCCTTGGGACTTCACTGTTTTGTAAGGAAAGATGGAAAGGAAAAACATGTAATAAAATCTTAGTTACCTGGAGACTGGGGCTGGCCCAAATGACCAAGAGGTCCTTTCAAGCTCCGGGGCCTACAATTCTATGCAGGAGGCAGTACCACACCTGATGGAGAATGCAGGATGGACACTGGGTTTATACAACAGCTCTGCTGTGTCCCAGGTGAGTGGCCCTGGACAAGTTACTTACCTTCTCTGTATCTTAATTTCCTAATTTGTAACGTGCAGATCATTATAGGGTTATTATGAGGAATGAATAGCTTAATACAAGTAAGTTACTTAGAATAGTGCCTGGTGCTTGGTTATTGCTCCATAAATATTAGATATGTTTTCTCTGAAAACCAATCTTCTGTGCCAATCGCCCTATTATTTTGGCTCCAAAGAATTCAATTCAAGGATCCTTAGGCTATCAGGATGTCTGTTCTCCTGACTCTATGGAAACTTTGTCTAAACTACCTCAAAGAGATAGAAATTGGTCCCACATACTATAGTTTGAGGAAGCACCCTGAGGTGTCTGGTTTCCATGGCTACTCTCACAGCTGGTGGGCTTGAATGATGTGACCAGGAGGTCCCCTTTGACTAGGAAAACTTGTGGATGCCACAGCCACCTTAAATGAAAACAACATCAAAAACCCATTTGGGCAAAAGATTACCATTGATGGGTTTTGTTCAAGCATCAAAAGCTACCTAAAGGGCTTACTCTAGCCCTGGTCCCCCAATCAATATTCCAGAGACTCAGGAGCAGAATAATCTCTTCCCAAGTTTGTTTTACTTAATAAAGCCAAAGATTCATTAATTAACCATTAGCCTCATTAAAAAAGAAGAGACACAACTTCACAAAGCACTAGGGGTCCACATTTCTCAGAGCCAGGAGTGGAGGCTGTTGGGGGAGGCAGGAAGAGAATTGAGACTTCATGGCCTGGCTTAGGGAGCTGAAGACTGCCGAGAAGTCTGCCCTTCCTTAGTACAGTTGTGAATGTTTCTTCAAAATGTGAATGATAAATGACATGTAGGTGAGTCCATTATTTAGCAAACTCAGAGGTCTTCAGGAGCAACCTCCATCTTAACTCATTCCAGAAGACACAAGCAGCATCGCAAATGCCTGTCCCTATTAATAGAAAATTGAGGTCCAAAGACATAGAACTTGTCCAAGGTTGTATGCACTAGAAAGGCGTGAAACAGAACTCCACTGTGCGACTCCCAGCTGCTCAGGCAGGCTCTTAAGTTATTTTTTTAAACAAGGAGAGGCAAAAGTGACTCCCCACAGAATCTTCTGGTTAACTCCCTTGCCTGACCCAAAGCAGCAACAATGTTTTGGCAGGAGTAGGGAAAGCAGCCCCTAGCTGGTCTTCCTGCCTCTGGTCCCTTCTCCTCAAATTCAGTACTGATCCCATAGTGCTTTTTCTAAAACTCAAGTCTGCTCATGTCACTCCTCTGGTCAAATCTTTAAGCTACTCCTCATTGACTTCAGGATGAAATCCAAAGGCCTAGTAATAAGGCCATTCATCTGCAGGCACCTGCCTCCCTCCCCAGCTTTGATCCCTGCCCACCCCAACACACACTCCATGCTCCACCCGTAAGAAGTTGCCCACTTGTCCCCAGTAGCCATACTCTCTCTTTCTCTTTTCTCTGAGGTGCTAAAAATGCTACACAGTGCCAATCCATCCCTTTCAACTTTCAACTTCAATTCCTCCCTAGTTCAGATATTACCTCCTCCAGGGTGCCTTCCCTCACCTTCAATCTGAAAGAGGGTCTCCTATCAGTGCTCTCCAAGGACACCCTCTAACCAGGACATTTCACCACCTTTTACATTAACCATCTGCCAGGCTGCCCGTGAGCGCCCCTTGGGCAGAGGCTGGAAATGGTCATGTCTGTATCCCCAGCCCTTAGTACACAGCCTGCTCGGTATCTAATAGAGCTAACAAATGCCTCTCCCTCACCTAATGTAGGTCCCATTTATCTTTAATAATTTTGTATACATAACGATTTGCATGCCTATTTTATTAAAACCTAGGAAAAAACAGGATTACAACCAGTTGTGTAATTACTCTGACTGTGATTATCACCTGATTTATCAGAGAAAAAGAGTGGCATCAATAACCCAAATTAACAGATGATCCAAAAGTCATTTCTAGCTGGCCTTGGATGTGGCATAGGTATGAATATGCGTATGAGGACGCAAGGGGCATGTGCAATTATGTGTGAGGTTTACTCCTATAATTTAAACTTTATTTTTGCTGATACTGTATACGTGCCTGTTCCAAGAAAGCACTCTTACCAACAAAAAGAGTGAAGGGGAGAAAATGGCAAGAAGTTGAAAGAAATGAGTCTAGTCTATGTCTGACCATAGACATACAATCCACCAAACAGATGGCTCACAAGCCTGCACCCCAGGAATTTAACAACAATCTATCAGTGTCCGTAATCCTTTCGTAACAATACCCTAACACTTAATTTGCATGTTAGAGTTTACAAAACACTTTAGCATGGCTTATTTGTTTCTCACAAAATGCGGGAAAGTATGAAGAGTATTTTATCTTTTTTTTTAATATTTAAATGATGTAATAAGCAATAATATACCCACAAACAATATAAAAATGGAAAGTTTGACAAAAACTTGTGCCTATGTATGTTGTGATCTTCTCGGATTCCATCTACTTCATCTCACGTCCCATAATACCATGCTGAAGGAACCCATTTTATTTCCTTTATATGTTCTTTTTTTTTTTTTTTTTTTTTTTTGAGGTGGAGTCTCACTCTGTCGCCCAGTCTGGAGTGCAGTGGCGCTATCTCGGCTCACTGCAAGCTCCACCTCCTGGGTTCACGCCATTCTTCCGCCTCAGGCTCCTGAGCAGCTGGGACTACAGGTGCCCGCCACCACGCTCGGCTAATTTTTTTTGTATTTTTAGTAGAGACGAGGTTTCAACCTGTTAGCCAGGATGGTCTCGATCTCCTGACCTCGTGATCTGCCCGCCTTGGCCTCCCAAAGTGCTGGGATTACAGGCGTGAGCCACCACACCTGGCATATATGTTTCTTAAAAGCATATTTTTTATTTCAGTTTTTTAACTTTATGAAATGGGCATAATGCAACATGAGATAATTGGGCCTTACTTTTTGAAAAAAGTAGTTTATTGCTAAGTTTCATCCATAATGTTATTTGATTTACATGCTAGGTAATATCATAATATTACCAACTGACTGTTTACTCACTTACTTCTCCCTCACTGGGTACTTGAGTTGTTGCATTTTTTTGCTATTGAACAGTGCTGCTGTGAACATTCTTGTATATGCATCCTGGTAGATATGAGAAGGAGTATCTCTTGGGTTTTAACTTAACAGTGCAATTGCTAAGGGACAGAAAGAGTGAATGCTTAACTTTTAAAATAATGTCAAACTGTTTCCTAGAATGGTTGTACCAAATTGCATGCCTGCCAGCAGAGTATGGAAGTACCCATCACTCTGTATCCTATCCACCGATAGTGTTGACACAAATGACTAAGAGTGAGAAACTTAGGTCTCAAATTCGCATCCTTTGAGCCAAATTAGCTCATCTATCTTACAGAGTATTTTATTAGCTTTTTAAAATTTTGAATTTGAAAGCCTTTAAATGGACAGACACTCTTCAGTCTACCATAGGCCCCACTGTTCCCTAATGTCTTGTGCTTGGGCCAATCCACACATTTATGTTATGTGTTATCTGCCTGGCCCTTGTAGGCATTAGAGTTGGAGGTTTCTGTGATTCATAAAGTCTATGAATTTAGACTTAGAGAAGAATAGTGGTTCTAAGCAAAAGTGCTTTCTAAAAGAATGCAGGAGGAACCCAATTGAATGCCCTGCAGATTTTTGACCATCAATCCTAAACAGTCAAAGTGGTGGATATTCTGTATACAATAAAGTGAATTATAATCTAAAGAGTTAGTGGAATTTGAGTTCAAATGATGGGTACAATTGGGACCGTACTTGAAAATAAATACTTGTTGAAGGCATCTACTGCCACAGTTAATCCTCTCACCAATCCTTAGATATATGTATTATTATCCCCATTTTACAGGCAAGGAAAATAATGAACTGAATTAAAAACCCATGCACAGTACACTACAGCACACTGCCTCCCAAGCAACATTTACTAAATGTCTCCTCTCTGTTAGAGCACTGACCAGTTTTATGGGAAGCACCTAATTTAATCCCCAAAGCTCTGCAAGTGGTGATAGCAAATGGCTTTAGCACTTACTCTTCCTGTTTTGTAGATAAAGAAACTGGGCTGGGTACAGTGGCTCACACCTGTAATCCCAGCACTTTGGGAGGCTGAGGCAGGCGGATCACCTGAGGTCAGGAGTTCGAGACCAGACTGGCAAACATGGTCCCTGTCTCTACTAAAACTACAAAAAAGTAGCCGGGCATGGTGGTGGGTGCCTGTAGTCCCAGCTACTTAGGAGGCTGAGGCACGAGAACCACTTGAACCTGGGAGGCGGAGATTGCAGTGAGCCAATTGTGCCATTGCACTCCAGCCAGGGTGACAAGATAACTCCGAAAGAAAGAAAGGAAGGAAGAAAGAAAGAAAGAAAGAAAGAAAGAAAGAAAGAAAGAAAGAAAGAAAGAAAGAAAGAGAAACTGAGGTTCAGAGAAATGAAGGGGCTTTACCCAAGGCCAGTTAGCAAAAGCACTAAGATATGAACATAACCTCCTCATACTAACACCTACTTCTTATTCCACACTGACCAAGCATCCAATAGAAAGGATAGTTTTGGAAATAGAAAGCCAATGAAGTTCATACCAAAAGGCCCTAAGAGGACTCATTGCAAGCTGATAGAATTTATTCTTCCTGGACAGAATCCCAAGTTTCTTTCCAAGCAGGCACAGAAGTTGATGGTCCCAGAAGGGTATGTTTTGGAAAAGAGAAAATAGTTTTACCTCTATTGACTTAGAAACTGAATACCTCCACAGATATTGGAGCTGCACTTTGAGTGTGACTGTCTCCTTTGGAAGCCTGTTAAAACAGGAGGCACACACCAGGGCTTAGAGTTTTGCTAATCTTTCTGAGAAGAAGAGCAATGTTAGAAAAGCAATCTTCCAGAGAAAAGTGACATATTTCCTAGAAATAATGACAGAGAGTAGGAACCCTTTCCATGAAGTTTTAACGTGATGCCCTTCTGCTTCTCATAGTAGGTTTGGAAGGTTACAAGAATGAACTAATCACCTTGGAGAATAGATTAGACTTTGAAGTTTTCCAGTTTAGGTTGGCTTCCTTCCAAGCTGAGTCTTACTGAGGGCTCTATTGTAGACACCAGGAGGACCCTCCAACTTCAGAAAAATCCCCCAGAGGAGCCACCACTGAATCATTTACCAATAACCATCCTGATTTAATATCTGTTGGGAGAAAGATCCCAAAGGATGGAGATGTCATTAGCACAAGCTGCTCCTAACTTTGACAGAAGCTGCCTCTGCCCTGGACTCAACTCTGAAGTCGTGGGTGAGGACCACTTGCCTTCCTTCAGTGACAGAACTGGACACAGAAGAGATAAAGATGAATAAGATAAACCATGTGCTCAAAAATCTCACAGTCTAGTAGGGAAGGCATATTTAGAAACAGGCAGAAACCAGAGTACTATGTGCAATGACAAAAGCGTGCAGCCAGTCCTACAGAAGGGGGAGAGAGTGATTAATACTGTCAGTGGTGGAGAAAACCACACAGAAAAGGAAGCATAGAAGCAGAGTTTTGAGGATGAGCGTAAAGCTCAGTTCTATCTATGCGATCTCAAACATGTTTCTGAAACTCTTTCTCTTGGGCTATCTTTCGCCCAAAGTGGCAGAGTAGTTATCTCCTGTGTGGCAAGAATTAACACTTTCATTTATCGAGCCGAGATTAGGTAGCCCTGAGACTAAAAAGCAAATCTACCACATTGAAAGGCATCCCTACAGCATGCCTCCTTTTCCTACAGTACATGAGTAAGAGAGATCTCCTCCCAAGCTTTCTCCACCTATCTGGATATGTTTCACACCTGTGGAGACAGAGGATGAACTGATAACCTCTAGCAACAGCATCCTGCTGCTTATCTTTCTCCCTATTATTCAGCAATAATAGCAACCTCTTCTATTGTCTCGGAATCCACAAGTTCACACTAGCACCTCTGTGTCTTGTGACCATCAGATAGCCAGATGTGACTGCCTCTCAGCTCTCCTCTCCAGATAAACCACAGGTTAATTTTGTTCCAAAATAGTGGAGGAGAAAAGTGGGGGGGTGGAAATTGGCATCACCCTCTCCCAGGCAATTTTAGCATTCCCACTCCTTCTGTCCCCCTCCCTCCCATTGAAGTCAAACAAAGCAAACCATTCCATCCTGATCTGTCCCTTTACCCTGCACTATATAAAGCTAGCTACAGATGGCCTGGAAGGATTGATGCTCCAAAACTCCCCAGTGCCCACTCCCTTCCATCAAGCTGGTTCCTAAATCTGTGGATACAGCAGACTTCAGAAGAGGAAGCGGCGTGAACACGCAGCATGGGCCTTGGCACGCCGGAGTCTGGGCTGTGCCAGGGCCATGATGCCCGAGTCTCACCCGCTCTGATGCAGCACTCAGAATGGCATCTGGTTGCCCCACTGCCCACATGATGGGAGCCTGATGCTGAAAGCCAAGTTTATCTCTTTAGTGCACCCTGGATTGCAGGTAAAGAAATTCATGATAAAGTGGGGAGAAAGGAAAAAATGAAAATGATCAGGGGAAAAGTTGTTGAGACGCTTGGAGGAAACAATCATGAATATATCCTTCTCTGCTAGTTTATTTTCCTGTGTACAACTTCCAGCAGAGGAAAGTGGGTAGGGCCAGCCAAGAAAGTGTAATAAAGATTATTTGAGGTCTCTTTCCCTTGGGCGTTTTTGTATTGCTGGCAGTACTTTTCAGTACTCTTTCCTCCAGACATCCTAGATTTCATCCCAGACCCCTTAACAACCAAAACCATACACATTTATCGATATTTATTATGTGCCAAGTCCTGGATAAAATGCGTTATACTCATTTTCTTATTTAATCCTCAGGCAAAACTGAAAACTGCTATTATTTTCCCAATTATTCAAAAGAGAAAACAGAGATGTTAAAGAAGTTGCCAAGATAGCACAGCTCTTAAACGGTGGAGCCAAGGTTCAAACCAGGTCTATATAATTTTAAATCCTTTATCCCTAAAGAATCTCTTCAACCTCAACTAGCTGTCATAACAGAGCCAAAAAGCATTACCTGAAGCTCTCTACCCCGGAGATATTTACATTTTAATAGCCTGTCTCTTAACGAGGCTTCAATGAGCAAAGAAATGAATTGCTTGTAATGCTATTTGGGGCACTGTAATAGGTCACAGAGGAAACACATGGGGTCAGGGGCATCTCAAATAACGGTGTCTATCTCAACTCCATAGAATGAAGCCAGGTTCTTCTGAAGGAATGTCGAAGCTACTGCTTTGCATTTATTTCAATAGAAACTGCTTATTCGGAGTTGGAACCAAGAAAAATTTTGTTTGGATATAAGAAAGGCTTATCAGTGAGGGAGCCCATGGAAGTTTGGTAGATGACTGTAATACACACACACACACACACACACACACACACACACACACACACCCCTATCACTCTCCTGCCTGGGAGGGGTTCAGTCCTGCCTGGTCACAGGGAGATGAACAAGGTGATTTGCTAAGAAAACTCTTGGCTCAACTTGGAACCCTTAACCTTGACTTGGAGGATCTCATTTTATTTCCCAGGACTTTCTTAGAGATCCAGATGTAGTTGATGCTTTCTGTCTTTAAAACAACATTAGACGAGCAAAGCTAGAGACTTCCAGCACATTCTTTGAAAAGAAAAACATTTTCTCAGACTTGGGAAAGAATGAGTTGTCCAACCAACAATGCCTAGGGATTCAATTGCCACCCTCTTTCAGGCTTCCAGATCTCTCTGCAGGGAGTCTCCAATTACAACCCAAGTTGACTTTGTGTCTTCCTGGATCAACCCTTATAGGAAATCATTTCCTGACAAGCTACCAAACACAATTCCTTGAAAGCAAACAGCAGACCCAAATGCCTTTATTTGTCTTTGTCTCTGCTCTCCTGCTGTGTAGACAGAGCTCACCTCCAGCAGAGGAAGAGACAAATGGTGCCGACCTGCTCCACTCCTGGGACTGGCAGAGGTTGGACACCATTCCTTTCTCAGAGAGGTGCTCCTTCTCTCCTCTTCCTTTCCTCCCAGAAGGCATCTGAGACTGCCCTAGCTGAGAGGGAGAGGAGAGAAGACAACATCTACAAGAGGACAGCCCAGGTAATAGTCTATCATTCAGGATCCTGCCATAGCCGATCAGTCATGAAAAGAGATTTAAACATAGCTTCAACCCTATCGTCCCTGACACAGAATTGCAGAACAGTTAGATGCATGTAAGTTTGGCTACCCCAGGGTTGCCGTTCTATGTCTTCTTCAGCATTTTAGCACAGGCAGGAAGCCCTGAATAGTCTATTTTTATCCTATCAACAACAACAGATGTTCTGTGATTAATGCTTTCACAATTAGCTATTATATTCGTGACAAAAGGTGTGTTTTTGTCCAAGGGGAATTTGCATTTAAGAAAGGAAGCTTAACCATTAAAAACCAGGCTATGAAAATATTTTTTTAAAGAAAGAAAGGATGCTCAAACCAGGCAATGCATAGCCTCAGAGGAAAAGCCAAAGTCCCCATTACAATGTCCTACAGGACACTTTGCAATTTGCCACCCCCACCTCTCTGATCCCATTTCTGCCTGGTGGCTCCCTTGTCCTCCATTCACCCCACTCTGACCCAGATGGCCTTCTTACTGCATCTTCCATCTTAGGGTATTTTGCCTGGCTATTCTTTTTGACTAGAATAATATTTCTTCAGAAATCTCAGCTCACTCCCTGATTATATCAGGTCTTTGCTCCAATACTACCTTTCACGGAGGTCTCCTCCTTCCCCAAGCACCAAATGAAAATACAACCTGCCCTCATGCTCTCCCCAAAACCCCTTTGCCCTTTACTTGTTTTTTCTTCCACAGTGCTTTGCATTTTATAACATAATGTATAATTTACTTGTTTATTAGGTTAACTGTTTGTTTTCCTTTGTCTTCACACCCTGCTAGAAAGTAAACCTATGAGAGCAAGGATTTTTGAGTTATTTCATCACTGATAAATCTCGAATGTCTAGGCTAATGTCTGCCACATAATAATCGTTCAAGAAATGTTGGCTGAATGCATGATAAAGGAAAGGAACACACACTTCTAATGGAGGAATTTCAAATACTCTCTAGAACCTGCCTATCCACCCCTACCTGTGTCCTAGGTGGTCAGGTCCACCCCAACATGTACAGAGCAGACCCCCATGCCTCTTGTATTTGTCACAGCCTTGGTGCTTAGTCCACTTGGATCTATTTTCTTTGCATGTGTCACACTCTGCACCACAATTTGAAGTGAGTCCTTCCAGTTTTTTACCTCCTAGTTCATGTCCCATTATGGATTTAAGATGCCCATAACCCTTCCATTTGTTTCTTCTGTTTTTTTTTTTTTTTCCAGTTTGCTTCTTTACTTGCTGGCAATTCAGGCTCTACTTCCCACTTCAGGCTCTCCTTCCCACTCTCTCTCTGGTCTCCTGGGGCTGCGTGTCACCTAGTTCTACTTGGATACCAGCCTCCCCTGCCTGGCAACAGCCCCCACAGGCACCCTACATGGCTCACAGAGGCCCTTCTAGGGGAACATGGACCCTACGAGGAAGTGAAGCCCCTGAATGCATCTTCATTCCCTGTTATCAATAATACCTGAACACATTTAAATCAATAGCAATAAGCTCTCAGTTCCATCAGGGAACAAGTCTAATAAAGAGCATGACACACAATTATGCCTTGCTTTCTTCTGAATGTCAGCACTAACCTTGAATTTGTACATCAATATGACAAGAGCAAAACATGTAAAAACCAGAAGCCACAATGATGACAAACTGTCCCCAAATTGCACACGTGTTTTACAGAAAATTTCTCCTGGTCTAAGTCTTTCTGACAATAAAAATCAAATGATACTTTACTTTTCAACAGCCATTCAATCTCCAAGCTAAGCAACCATTTTTTAAACTGTCAACAGCCATACTGCCAACTTTAGAGCATGGAAACTCTGAGCTCTCCAGCCTAGTCGGGGCTGATGTGTATGTGTGCTGCTGAGCTCTCCACTGGCCCATTACAACTGTGAAATTTCAGCGTCCACATTAATCACAAACCCCTCCCACTTGTCCCCACCATTCCCCACTGTGTAGGACCTACCTGTTTTTAACTTCCTAGCTTTCTTCTTTGCTCTCCCTTCCCACAATATAAAAATAATACCTAACATGTGCATATCACTTTATAGATTCCAGAGTACATTTACATCCATAACCTAATTTTGCCCCCGTATCAACACAGTACATAGGGTATTATTGTCCACAGTTTCTGAAAGTGGAGACTGAAGTTCTGAAAATATAAGAGACTTATGCAAGGCTATACAACTGGTATGCAGTAAGTTGGGTTCAAACCCAGGCCCTCGGATTCCACATCTAGGGCTCGGCCTGCTCACCCCTGCTGCCTGACTCAGCCACTCAGTCCCCAGCACTTTTCAGCTCTCCAGTTGACATTTCTGTGGAGAAACTATTTTTGTGCTGCCAACATGCTTTTCCTCATCTTAACTCCATATCAATACCATTCCATTTGTGGATGTGCCACACATTTATCTGGGGTTCAGGCACCAAGTATACATTCTCTGCACAGTCTCTCCTTCCTCCTTTGTGCTATTGATTCGCACTTTGACTATTGTACTTAATAAATTGTTTCACAGTTACTTGCTTATGCATCTCTGTCCTCCTGAAGGTTCCTCCAGAACGAGGACCATGTCTTACTCAGCTCTGTTACTCCAGATTTTAGCACAGTGCTTGATATGGAAGTTTGCAATAAATATATGTGATTTTCAAGATGTTGAATGAATGACAGTTGTGCCCAAGGGAAGAGGGAACGTCCCACAGAGACCAGATCCTGGCCCACTTGCACTATCACAGCCACACAGGCTCCCCCAGAGCTCATCAGACAGAAGCATATGGAGTGGTTACTGCTCAAGGGAGGCACCTCACTTCTGAATCTAAAGTCCTGAGGACGCCACAGTACTGCTACTCCAAGAGCCTTTGGGGAAACTCCACACAGAGAAGAGGGTGGTTGATAGGGTTGATAGGGATTGCGGCACAGGAATGGAGGGAAGAAGGACTGTCGAGAGGGCCGCGGAGGGAGGAGGGATGGCAGGAGCAGCATCAGCTACATCTCCAGCCATGACCTTACTGTGGTAGATTCCAAGAAGTTGCTATGCTAAGAGTGACTTACACTGAGGCCTCTAGAAGGAGGGTGATAGCAGTGCCAAGGAAAGGCATATATTTCAATGGGGAATTGTTTTCTCTATACACAAAAGCCCAGTTGCAGTTGGTTTTACTTCCATAAAGCCTCACTCCAAATCCATCTTCCAGTTGGGGCCTCTCTCTTACACATACACACAGACACAAGCTCAAACATCTATCACAGTGCTGTGACCTGGGTCTTTCTCAGCCATCTGTACAGATCAGTTAAATTGAAGTCATCTATTAGGGCTTCCTATGCATCCAGCAATGCTCTGGGGATGCAAACGTGAATGAACATGACTTCTGCCTGCATAGAGCTCTGTCAAGTGGATCCCATAAATCCATATAGAAGTTAGGGAGGGGCTGGGCATGGTGGCTCATGCCTGTAATCCCAGCATTTTGGGAGGCCGAGGCAGGCAGAGATCACTTGAGGTCAGGAGTCCAAGACAAGCCTGGCCAACATGTTGAAACCCTGTCTCTCCCGAAAATACAAAAAATAGCTGGGTGTGATGGTGGGTGCCTGTAATCCCAGTGACATGAGAGGCTGAAGTAGGGGGATCACTTGAGCACAAGAGGTAGAGGTTGCAGTGAGCCGAGGTTACCCCACTGCACTCCAGCCTGGGTGACAGAGCGAGGCTCTGTCTCAAAAAAAAAAAAGTTAGGGAGGCAGTAAAAAGTCCTAATATAAAGATGCTTTGGGATTAAGGGAAGGGAGAGATTAATTCCACCTGGAGGGGATCAGCACCCCTGGTGGAAGTATATGTGAGTTAGGCCGGGGCTGGAAGGATGGCATGAGGGCCACCATGGGGCACTTACCTAGGTCTCTAGGTCATTGGCACAATCCTCTACTCCAGGGAAGAACTTGGACAAGACTAGTATGCTTTCTCAAGAGCAGCAAAAGCCAATCAGAAAGCCAAAAGCAGAGTATAGGGGTTCAGGTTCCTGTCTGTTTGGGAACTGAGGGAGATCCTGGTCCACTAAAGCATTCCATGAAATGATGCCAACTCACTCAGTAATTGTGACAACTCAAGATATGAAATGAAAACATGTACATCAAATGCCTCAAACAGTGCCTGGATGAAATGATGTGGTAGCACCTTTTTTTTTTTTTTTTAACCAACATCATTTTATACTCCTTAATATTTACTTTCAAATTTGATTCCCAGTGCCAGTCCCTGCTCCCAGTCTTGGTATCAAATCTAAATACAGGGACTTTAATAAGAAGTTGTATCAAGGTGGGAGCAGCATTTTATAGAAATAGGGGGACTCTCAGGACAAGTCAGGAATGGGAAATACTTCCACATGGCTTAAACAGAGAGCAAAAAAGTGAGGATAACGGGAAGCAACATTGCCAAAGGATTTGGGGATCCGAGTGTGTTTGCTATGAACACTAAGGCAAGAAATTTCACCTAGACATGCCTACAGCATTGCCACTGAGGCTGCTAAAGAGTCGTTTGATCTGCTCAGGTCTCTGTTGGCTTTCTTGGGACCTGGGTTCTCATCTAATTCTATCCTAAAAGGTAGTGAAAGCCTTTGCCACCTCCGTGGTCTACACTCTATCGGAAAGCCTAGAACTCGGTGTTTGTGCAGATATTTCTAAGGGCCTTCAATGCCAAATACTAGAGTAGACACTGAATACTGGCAGGTGAGCCACAGATATGCATTGCTGCGGTTGCATCAGCCCCCAGTGAGAGGACCAACAGGCCAGTCTGTGCAGAGCCTTCTGGCTAATAACACTCAGGTCCCTAGATGGCTCCAGTCCAGCAAGTACGGTATATCTCCT
Organism: Homo sapiens; assembly: GCF_000001405.40. NCBI lineage: Eukaryota > Metazoa > Chordata > Mammalia > Primates > Hominidae > Homo > Homo sapiens. The sequence continues at coordinate 208,273,718 of NC_000001.11, read as the reverse complement.
CTCATTGGTAATGCGTACTCTCCTACTTCCCTGAAAGCCCCCCAAGGAGGGTGTGTTGCTTCCTCAGGAATGTGTAGTCCTTTTCATTATGAACATATGGTATTGACCAAACCACAGGGATGGGTTTCCACTAAGCCACACAGGCTCCCTTATCCAACCCAAATGGTAACATGTGTTAACTTGTTGGGAGCCACTGGTAACCCATCTTTGGCACTTAAGGGCATTCTGGTGAAAGCAAGTAAAAATTAATCATTAGAGACAAGAATCAGTAGTGGTGTAGCCAATCTACTCTTTAAAGAGGAAGGAAATATAGAATATATTACTAGTTAGTTACATTCAAATTCTCCTCCAGCCCGAAATCTCTGGGTTACTAGGCTTGGGTGAAGCTGGGGCAGAAACTGGAAGTCAGTAGAAATAAGGTTTTGTTCTTCTTGGTTCTGGGTTATTGGGGACTAGAGGGTGTTTCCATGACAAAATAAATAATCTGATAGTTACAGGAAACATATTCTTTAAAATGTAAAAATTATGGTTTGATAAGTACTTTGGGAGATCTAAGAAAAAAGCATTTAAACTTGAGACATGCCTCTGACAAAATCTTTGGCATGTAGTCACCTTCACACAATGCCCCTTCTAAAGGAAAGGACAGTAGCCATAATCCAGGATAGACCAATTAATGCAAATCTCCAACTGCAACTATCACTAACCTATGGTCTACGTGTAAGAAGAATTCATCAGCACTCCTCTGCTGAGCCTCCTGGTGACTGTCAGCCACTAAGCCAGCCACTCTGAGGTCTCAGCATCTGGAGACAAGAAGCAGACTCAGATGTTGATCAAGTTAAAAAGAGAATTACACACTGTCCTCCCAGAAAGCTGACCCTGATGGATTCATTCATCTTTTTTTATACAATTTAGACCAGGATAAAATGACAGCTTTTGTTGCTACCTCAGTACACATATGTACACAACAGTCAATCTCTCTCTCTCTCTCTCTCTCTCTCTCTCTCTCACACACACACACACACATGAGAGAGAGAGAGAGAGAGAGAGAGAGACAGAGACAGAGAGAGAGAGATGTAGAAGCAAGCTCCATTTGGTTGTAGCTCCTAGGAGGGATGCAAAATGCAGCCAAATTTGCATAGTATGCCAGACAAGCCCTCCGGCCCCTGAAACTTCACACCTGTCTCCTGCCAGTACCCAAAGAGCCATCTGCTTTCCCTGAAAAGCCAGACACAAGGCCCCATCTTTATGGCTTTGGTAGAGGATGAGAAAACCTGGCATGGGGAGGCTTAATTGCTCAAAAATAACTCCATGGTACATAACATACAGTTACATGAAGATCCGAAGAAAAAGCCTTGGCAGTATTTTTTTGTAAACATTCAGAATAAAGGTTGGGGCATGCAAAAGGGAAACTATTTAAGGACTCAACCTAGTCCCAAATTATTTCCACTGCCAAGAACTCTACGAGTGAGGAGTTCTGTATGTGACAGAGAGTTCCACAAAAAAAGAAATGTAAGGCATCCAGGCAGGATTTTATGTTTTCATCTACTCCACCCTGAATTTGAGATGCTCTCCTAAAGATATTCCTACCACCTCACATAAATAATTGTATCCATTTGTGCTACTTTTAAAATACAGTTCTATCTCCAGGTATCAGAACAGGGCAAAAGGAAATTCCCTCTCTCAAGCCCATTCAGCAGTGGCCGAGCAGAGCCCAGCAGCATGAAACGAAGATTTGAGAGAAGCCAGATAGTTCTCAGGATGGGTTCAGCACAGGCCTGTCTTGAGGCAGAAGGATAGACTAAAGCAGAGTTTGTCAACAGTGGCACTATTGACATTTGGGCTGGATAATTCTTTGCTGAAAGAGGCTGTCCCACGCACTGTAGGACTGAAAGATACTTTGCAGCATTCTAGCCTCTACCCACAAGATCCCTGTAGGTAGAGATTCCACCCCTCTCCCCCAGTTGTGACAATTAAAAACATCTCCAGACATTGCAAATGCCCCTGATGGGCAAAAATCACCCTGAGAACTACTGTACTAGATGATCTCTTGAAGGCTTATCAAAGGTCATTATTGGGGTATGTGGGTTGCAGAGAGGTTCTGATAGCACAGCATTTATCACAGAGAATTATATTCACTGGTTTATGAGTCTTTATCTCCCATTTGATGCTGGTTTTGAGGACAGGAACAATTTCCATGCAAGCACAGCTGTCTCTCCAGCACAGGGCCTGGTGCCTGGCATGGGGCTGAATGAATGACAGCCTGGATCCAGGGATCCCAGTCTTGTCTCCCAGCCCCATGCTCCTTGTGCCAAGTGCTATGTCTTTGTGTTGGACGTGGGGGAAGAATAGGGGGTATCTTCAGAAAACTAATAAAATAAATGACTAAATAAATGGAACCTCTTGTCTAAAGAACACAGCGATAAGATAAATCATTCTGAGTCCTGGAAAAATTATCTCTACCATCCTGCCCCCCGTTTCTCCATTCAGCCAGAAAACACTTTAATTTATCTTGTGAAATTTTTCATCCACCAGACAAACATTAAGCATTTCTTTCTTCTTCTCCTCCTCCTTCTTTTTAATATTCCTCTCTCCACAAAGGTGGGTTGGCTCTCAACTCATTGGAATAAAAGCTCCATTAGCCTCAGTGCACGTAAGGCTTGTGGGGTTGGCGGGGATTCAGGACCCACAGAAGGATAAAGAAACCTGATACTCATTCTTCAAGTAATTAGAGTTGGTAAAATAAACTGTGTGCATTTAATTAAGGGAATGGATCCATCAGGCTCAGGACAGGGCAGGAATCCCATGCTCACAGCACCAGCCTTTTGTCTCAAATTAACCCCTGGCTGATAAAAAAGGTTCCCATGGAGTCACTGGGAGAACATTCCTGTATCCCATCTTCATTCCTTTCTTGCTGTCAGTCTCTGAATCCACATAGTTTTTCTCAGCTGTCTGAAGCCCTGCAGACACTACAGTTCTCTTCCTACACATGACATATGTTCTCCAACTCCCCCCACAAGTCCCTACATGGAATGCTCCCTCCCTCAGCAACTTGCTGTAATTTGCAAACATATATCCAGGAACCTACTCTCAGCCGAAAGGACATGACTTTTCCATGCTTGCCAGTAGCCAGGATGGCGTTGCACTGAGACAGCCACGCTTTTGATCAGCCTTGTGACAATTAGCAACATAGATTAGATGATTGATTGGACATCAACAGAATAATCTGTGATTATGAAATAAATTCTCTTTGGAAAGTAAGAAAGTCTTTCCTAAATTCAAATGATCATTCTTATTTTAGCTCCTTCTTTTAAAAGTCTGAGACAACTGAACGAAACTCAGCTTTCAAAAAGCCAAGGACGTCTTTGAAATTTCATTCTACATTCCTGGATTACTGATGCTGCCTCTCTATCAGAGCTCTTTATCCTTCCTTCCCTTTTTGCAGACTTCAAATCAGCCTCAGTTTTCTTCAATTATCCTTTTGCCTCTCCTTGCCTAGAAGAAACTCCGAAAATTTTTTGCATATTTGATGGATAAGATGGAAAGGACGGTAGGTGAGGAAATACAGCAGCTAAGATGACAAGCCAGCTCTCCACTGACCACACAGGCACATCTCTAGCAAGGGACAGGAAGACAGAAGAATGAATGCAACAGGACCGCTAAGAAGTAAAGACAGTCTTCAGCTATGCAAGAATAGCAGCTAGAAATAGACAAACTGAAGAAGAGTTTATGGAAGGAGGAGCTGTTTTGTCCAGAGAGCAGCCTGGTAGTTTTCCGTTTTCAAATGCTTGGCTTTCAGGGCTCTGATGTTTCCCTGCACAGTTGTGTCCAATCATGACAGAGACAAGGGAAACAGCCAAGGCTACAATATCAGGTAATGAGGGGACTTTCCTGACGGTGAGGGCTGTGAAACATGGCTTTCACCACTTCTGGGGGTCTTCAGGATTAGGAGAGGCAGTCCTCTATCCAGGGAAAACAATACAGAGCTATCCTGGATGAATTCTGAGTAGCATTTCTAACTCTAGAAAACTCTGCACATCTAGGAGCATATACCAGGGCAGAATTTAGCACCGGAGTAGGGCTGGGATGTGGACAGAGTAGTGCTAGCAGGAAACTGCTCAGCTCCTCAACCCAGCCTGGTTCTCCTCTGGCTTCAGATGAGTGGCTGGTATATTTCCCCATAGTCCTGGCAGATATATTTCGTGGTGTTTTATTTCTCATTGTCTCACTGACGGTTGTGTGTGTGTGTGTGTGTGTGTGTGCGGGCGCACATGTGTGTTTCCTTGGCCATTTGCTCTACAGGAAGGTTTCCAGAGATATTTCCGTGAGCACAGATGCTTCAGTGGTGACAGGGAGCAGGCAGAGACAGCTTTGGAGGATTGGGAGGAGGTCTGTTCATGCCTGTGCCTTCTCTCCTCCATGAATTCAGCTATTTGGCATCCATGACGTCTCTCACTTTCAGCTCACCGGAGAATCTGAGGGCAGCTCCTGTTCCCTGCTGTCCTTTGCACACTTCCCTCCCTTCTCCCTCCTCACCCCCTTCTATTCCCTGATCTCCGTCCCCACTCTGGTTTCTTCAATTTCAATGAGTTTATTGGCATGATGAATGTTGCCAAAGCCAATAACACTGAGTCTCAGTGTCTGGGGATGGATTTCACAGCGGGAAGGGGGCGATGGGGGCCTCGGACCGCATTCCCACTGTGGGTTTCTGCCTCAGTCTGAGGTGGTGGCAGGCTGCCAGAGACCTTGTTCACTTGGGTTTCCAGTCTCAGCTGAACCCACCAGCCTTGTCTCCAGACAGGGAGAATATTCTTACGATGGCAGAGGTCATGTCTGGAGCCTCAGGTTTAGGAGAGAGGGGCTTTAAGCTTATGTTTTCAAGGAACAGTCTATAAATAAATTCCACACTGTCCTGTACCAACTATGTTGTTAAAACTCCAGCCTCCTGCCAACACTGCACATTCCCAGACCAGGTCCAGCGTGAAAAGACAGGTGGCTCTCAGCCCAGGAGTACAGATTCAAAAGGGTCCTTGAGGGGCCTTCTAAACAAGTGAGAGTCTTACCTTCTTCCATTTTTTCCATACAAACACACACACACACACACACACAATACAAGAACAATTTAGAGAATCTGAGATAGGCAAGAAAAAATGGGTTTTATTACAGCTAGAGCCTCAAACATCCATTTCAAATGAGATCTAGCTAAGGAAGTCCTCTTTCTAATGAATGAATTTTCTCAAGCTCCCATTTTCCCTCTCTCTCTCCCTCTTTCTCCCTCCCTCCCACCTCCTCATTTTCTCAGACCACACACACACACACACACACACACACACACACACACCCCTTGTCAGCACAGCAGACTTTTCCCTCCAGGGTGCCTCAGCTGATGGAAATTTCTATCTGCAATGAAAATCAACTTCGGAAAACGTCACAGCAAGGGACTTTTTTTCCTGGCTGCCCCAAGATTGATCTGGTCCATAGGATGCCCCAGATCATTGCATTCGGTAATTTCATTCTGCTTATGATCTATTTCTTATACGATCAATATGATAAATGCGCTGGAGAGCAAAGTGGGTTACGGCCCGACGCCGGTGAAGTGAGGAGGAGAAAGGAGCACTGGGCTGCCGCGCTGTGTGTTTCATGAAGCAGAAAAGCAATTCAGTCAGACTAAAGGCTACAGACAAGGAGGCATATTCTCCTGATAAATGCAAATGATGTGACTACATTTCCCCCAGCACAAATGGGATGGGGAGGGGCAAGAGGAGACCAGTCCCGCTGTCTGTATCACAGCATTCTCCTAGGAACCCATAGCACATCTGCACACAGCACATTGGAGGTTTGAGAGCAGGATGCGGGAGGAAAGAACGGGAGTTTGCTTAAATAATCAGGACTAATGGCAAGCTCCCTCTTCCTGACTCCACTGTGACTCTGAACATTGCTGTTTTTAAAGCACAGTACAAGAGAATCAGGCATCCAGTGAGCGGAGAACCACAGGGAAATATCGGACCGTGCGCTAATCCATGAGCACCCCATCATCTTCTCTGAGCATCAGAGCTCCCTTGGCTTCAGGTCTTGTTAGGTAACAATCAATTTCACTGTCTGCATTGTGATTTTGTGCCAGGGCCTTCTGTTTTCCCACATAAGCCCACATGTCTAGCTATCCTTGGGCCAGCCATGGAATTCTCTGCCTTAAAGCTGCATCATCTGTAAATGGGGGTCAATTACATCGCTGCTGCTGCTGCTGCTGCTGCTGCTGGAAAGTAATCTTATGAGGAAAAAATGCAATAATGTAAATAACTTCTAAAAGTATATAATGTGCTGAAAGTATAAGGTATTAGCTTTGGTAGGCACCATGAAGCTCTAAAAGGAGAAGAAGAGGTCACTGCCCTTAGATAGTTTAGAAATTAATAGAAAACATGGGTCAGATGTTTGAAAAGGAGAAGCAAGACAAATCAACACAGAGGGAAGGGTTCTGGACTCGGAGGGGTCAGCGCTGAGTTGTAACCAGGGATCTACCCCTCCCTCAATGCATGAGTTGTACAAGTTCTTTCCTTACCCTGGGCCTCAGTTTCCCCAAAGGAACATAAGGCAGTTGGGTAATCTATTAAGGCCACCTCTGGCTCTGGCTTTTTGTGAAGCTTAGATAAATTGAGCCCTAATATGGATGCAAATGTTAACCAGTGATCTGAGCTCCAGAAGGAGATGAAATAGAGCAAGATTTTAGAAGAGGGGAAGGAAATATTGGCAGGATATTCTAAATGTAGAAATCAACCTTGCTAAGTCCCCAGTTTGGAGTGAGCAAGTCCCAATCAAGCATGTTCCAAGAGGAACCTAGGGAAACATAGAAAGGCAAAGGGTGAGGAGGCAGGGAAGGTGACTTTTGTTCAGAGCCCTTGTCCAAGTTGAGAGAAGATGGGGAAGAAGGAGTGGATATTGTCATCGGGCTGGGTGAGATCTTCATATCACATTCAGGGGAGACTGACTGCTGCCCCCACATCCTCCCATCTGCATCAAGCAGACCGTAGCTTTCAGGGCCCCTTCTCCATGGTGGGGGTGGTTGGCAAGGTACTCTGTCACTGCACACTGCCGTTGCTCTTGTCCTTCCAGGAAATTAAATTTGAAGTTGCTCAGCTCTGCCAGTGCTTGATCCCTTCCAGACACTTTCCACTCCCGCTGCAGAAAGCTTGAGGATGGCTGGGAAAGGTGGGAGAGGAGGGAATGCCATGGGTGGGACTGTCATGGAGAGATGGATCCCAGCAACTCTGCATTGGTGATTCTTTGCACGGAAGCCTAGTATGTGGACCTCTAGTCTGTGGAGAAGGGCAGACAGAAGGCCCCTTCTATTTTCTCATCGAGATGGCAGAGGCTGTGATGAGACTGTCATTGGGAATATTGATTACATGGCTACTGCTCCAAGGACAGGGCTGGGAACTCTGATACAACTGACAGCCAAGCCATTCATGGCTCAGGTGGAAGTGGTCAGGAGAACAGCTCACCTGGACATTTCCAATTTGCAAAGGGACCAAGGAAATTGTGTTCTGGCTGGGTGCAGTGGCTCCCACCTGTAATCCCAGCACTTTGGGAGGCTGAGGTGGGTGGATCACTTAAGGTCAGTAGTTCGAGACCAGCCTGGCCAGCATGGTGAAATTCTGTCTCTACTAAAAATACAAAAATTAGCCAGGCATCATGGTGCATGCCTGTAATCCCAGCTACTCAGGTGGCTGAGACAGGAGAATTGCTGAACCCAGGAGATGGAGGTTGCAGTGAGCCGAAATCAGCCCTCTGCATTCCAGCCTGGACAACAGAGCGAGACTGTCAAAAAAAAAAAAAAAAGAAAGAAAGAAAGAGAGAGAGAAAGAAAGAAAGACAGAGAAAGAGAGAGGGAGGGAGGGAGGAAGGGAAGGGAAGGGAAGGGAAGGGAAGGGAAGGGAAGGGAAGGGAAGGGAAGGGAAGGGAAGGGAAGGGAAGGGATTGTGTTTTTAGTATGCACTGGGTTTACCAAAGGTGTATCTTATGTTGTATTCAAAATCGCCATTCATTCATTCAGTATATTTTCAGTCACTGGGAAAAGGAATTCCAAAGCACTGATGTACTGCATGTCCTCTCTGCAGCTGAGATGACTGAGGCTTGCCCAGGATCAGACAGATGGTAATTAGGAGAACCATGGGTCTAGACCAGCATGGAAGGTTCACGGCTTTTTGAAGGAGATAGGGGCCTGGGTGGGTGCAGGGCCACATGCAGCTGCTGAGCCAAATGCAGCTGTTTGAAAATTAAGACAAAAAAATAAAAAATTTAAAAATGGGCACTGCTTATTTTAGTCAAAGTTTTCTCATTTCATCTCCACCCAAATTTCTCAGCAAGTGTGAAGTTCAAAACAGACTGCAGAGTAGTGTCAAGGATCAAAGGACAAGGCCTACCCTCTTTGACCTTCATGAAATGAGTTGTCTAGACAGAGCGCATCAGCTTCCTTATTAGTGACTGAAGATCGTCAGCAAAGTGAAAAAAAAAAAAAAAAGTTATTGGCTTGCAATCCAAAAAGAGAAATATCATTCTTCCCCACCCTCTCCTACTGAGTTCATTTTCTATTGACTTTACTTAAGTTTCTCTAGGTTCTTGGCCTTGAAGATGTTTCTGATTTGCTCTCTGCCAGCATCCTGGGATGCTCTTCTTTTGTTAGTAATGAGTTCAATTCACATGAAAAGCCAGAGCCTGCTTCTGAGGCGTTTGGGTAAGTCCCAAGCTGCACTTCTGCCAGTGCCACTGCCTGAGAATTCTTATCAAGCCCCTGGACAATTTAGACTCTGCTCACTCCAGCATATTCTCAGTGCTCCAGAATAAGGCAAACACCAAAAATCAATAGGAATTTTCCAGTGGGAAGATTTCCAAAGTCACCAAAGATCTGAATTACCTTTCCATAATTGGAAAAGTCCACCAAATAGCAGAGAAATGATCTCTTTCTTTTTTCCCCTGGTTGCCAATAGAAACAGTGTCTGCTCCTAATCCAAAGAATATCATGAGACCTATTCCCAATGAGCTCAACCCCAGTAATTGAAAGCAGCCCTGGATTGCCTTTGGTCTTGGGTATTTTCATCATAGGACTGTTAGCGCCAAGACATACACTTTGCCAAGGAAAACTTTCCTTTGAAACCTCTATCTTATCCAAACAGAGAGTTGGAATTGACTCTTGGCAGTTCCATAGATAGTTTTGAGTTATGAAAAATAATACATATGTGTCTGCCAACCTAAGAGATTGTCCCCAATCTGAAAAAAGTAGCCTTGCACATGGACCCATCTTTCCTTCCAATAAACTGATAAAAACCAATGCACCTCTTACAACTTCAGAGCCTGCTATGTTGGCCTTTAAAGCCACCTGCACAATTCCTCTGGATGTGACCTCAAGTTGCTTCTATTCAAAGAGATGTGTGTAGCAAAAGAACAGGAGATGTTAGAATGAAAAGGAAGAGCTGGCATGTAGAGAACTTCAGTTGCATTCTTCAAGGAGAGGCATTCGCGTTTCAGCTCTTGGAAAGATTGCAGTTTGGGGAAGGTTTGGTCCAGCTTGGAAGAGCTGCAGTGTTAGAAAACAAGGCATTTCCAGGCACTGTCTACTTCCTGGGGGAGTGGAGTGGGTCTTTGTAAAGATAATCATGTTTATATTGAGAAGCTGATGAAAACATTTTGCAAATATCCAAACCAAGTATGTGACCTGGAAAATGGAGGTATCCACTCTATGTGCAGCCTTTTGCAGGGCAGAGGCTTGGTAAGGAAGAAGACAGCCTTTCTTGAGGAATGGCAGGCCCTGTGACTCGTCTGCCAATCTGCAGAGCTCAAGGCTCCCTGTGCTGCCTCATCCTGGGTTACTGATATCTCTTCTAGTTGCCTTTATATCTCCTCGAGGTAAAGTTTTGCCACACCACACTCTCAGGACACTCACTTTTGTGGGGGAGAAAACCTACTTAGAATCATAGAATCACATAATTAGACATGACCTTAAAGCCTATTTAGTCAGATCACCCATCTCATGCTAGAATGCCTACAAAACACAGCATACTGCCAATGACAAGACCATCACTACCAAGTGCACCACATGAGAAGCAGGACTGCACAGGGCCAGATGACCCCAAGTAGCAGCCACAAATATCAAAGCAGATAAACCAACTTTGCCAGTTCAGAGGATGAGTGTTGTGGTTAAGATTATGGGCTTAGACTGTATGAAGTTAGACTTCTTGGGTTCAAACTCTAGCTTCACCATTTACTCCTAGATGACCTTAGGCAAGTTACTTGATTTGTCTATGACTTGGTTCTTCATATGTGAAATAGGAGTAATGTTGTAATACCTACTTCATTTGGTATCTATGAGATTAAAATGAGATAATATAAATAAAGCACCTAGAATAGTGCTTGGAATGTCTATCCTACCTAATCAACTGAGATCTTCCTTAATTTTGTTTAAAAAATACTATATATAATTTTAAATATATACAAAAGCAAAAATAACATACTGATTTCTCACATATCAAAATAGTATAATGAATGCCTCACTTAGCTTCAACAATGATTAGTGTGTGGTCATTCTTGCTTTGGCTACACCCCATCCACATTACCCACACTTCTGATTGTTTTGAAGCAAATCATATTTAAACTTTCAGTATTTCAGCAAGTATCTCAAGAAACAGATTCTTTAAAAAATAGTAACCACAATAGCAATATCGCACTCGTCAAACATATAAAAATAATTCTATAATAATAAATATCAATGATTGTTTTATCTCTCTCTCTCTCTCTCTCTCTCATTCTATTTATAAAATTAGGGCATTTGTTGTATAGAGTTTCCGACAGCCTATATTTTCCTGATTGCACATCATTTAATGTGTCCCTCTATCCCCCTGTATTTCCCATAAACTTGTAGTTAGATCTGCCAGCTTGATTGATTCAAGCTCAATAATTTGATAAGGCTACTTCATGGGTCATGGTATTTCTATCAGGAGGGTCATAAGGTCTGGTCATTTCTTTTGTATGTGCATGTATGTGATGTCACACAATATCAATGATCATTGCCTAGATTTATAAATTCATTGTTGGGTTGCCAAACAAAATATAGAATATCCAGTTGCATTTGAATTTCAGATAAACAATGAATGATCATTTAGAATAAGTATGGGGGCCTTCAAAAACTCATGGAAAATGTGTATTATGAAAAAACAACGCAAGGATTTCAAAAACCTTTTGCACCAAAACACTCATTCTAATCTGTTATAACATGTCTGAACAGAATCTAGTTTGATGCACCAAGAAAGATAAGACATCAGTGTGAAAAGAGCTCCTATCAGAGCAACATGAATTCTGCTAAAATTGAGGCAAGAACCATCAAATTTATGGGGAGGCTTGAAAGAATGGTGAAATCATTGCTGTTTTATGAAATCTTTATGGTGACAATGCCCCAAAGAAACCAGTAGCTTACAAATGGATAACTCGTCTTAAGAAGGGATGCGACAATTTTCAATTTGAAACCTACAGCAGCAGACTATCCACATAAATTTTTGAGGATAAAATTAATCTTGTTCATGCCCTAATTGAAGAGGACCAATGATTAACAGCACAAACAATAGTCAACACTATGGATACCTCAATTGGTTCAGCTTACACAATTCTAACCAAAAAATTAAAGTTGAGCAAACTGACCATTGATGGGTGTCAAAATCGTTGCACCCAGATTAGCTGCAAACAAGTGCAGAGTTTTCAATGGAAATTGTAAAGCTCAGTGGATCTTGATCCCCCTCGTTTCTTCAAAGCATTTCTTTGAAGAGTCTTAACTAGAGATAAAACATGGCTTTACCAGCACAATCCTGAAGACAAAGCACACTCGAAACAATGGCTACCAAGAGGGGGAAGTGGTCCAGTCAAAGCAAAGGTGGACTGGTCAAGAGCAAAGTTCATAGCAACAGTTTTTTGAGTTGATCAAGACATTTTGTGTGTTGGCTTTCTGGAGGGCCAAAGAACAATTGCATCTGCTTGTTATGAGAGTGTTTTGAGAAAGTTAGACAAAGCTTTAGCAGAAAAACACACAGGAAAGCTTCACCAGCAAGTCCTTCTCAACCACAATATACCTGCTCCTTCCTCTCATCAAACAAATAAAACAAAGGCAGTTTTGTGAGAGTTTTGATGGAAAACCATTACATATCCACCTTATAGTCCTGATTTGTCTCCTTCTGACTTCCTTTTGTTTCCTAATGTTAAAAAGATCTTTAAATGGCACCCGTTTTCTTTAGTTAATAATGTAAAAAGACTGCATTGACATGGTTAAATTTCCAGGGCCCTCAGTTCTTTAGGGATGGACTAAATGGCTGGTATCATCACCAACAAAAGTGTATTAAACTTGACAAGGCTTATGTTGAGAAATAAAGTTTCTATTTTTTATTTTTATATTTAATTCCATTTTCCATGAACTTTTTAAAGTCCTCTGTTATATCCCGAATATTTCATGAGACATATACTAAGCAATTATGTGTTGTTTATCTGAAATTCATATTTAAGCAAGGGTCCTAATGTTTTTATTTGCTATATCTGGCAACCCTAATTAGGGAGGTTGCAAAATTGTCACATTTTAATTGCTTTATTCCTTATTTGTTTTTTAGTTGAAATATTTTTATAAAGAGCAACTTCCCCTCATCTACTTGATCATCCCAAGATATAGATCATATAAGAGAATCAAAATAAATGCTTGATTTTTTCTCGTTTTACTTAGTTTTTAAAATAATGAAAGTTTTTTCAATGACTAATACAAGTATCATTATAAACTCAAAAAGTAAACATATTTGTTGTGAATTTCAATCCTTTGCAGTTATTATCCTTTCTTATTCTCAAAGTATTTCATGTTTGATCAGTAAGAATCTATTCAAGTACATTCCTGAGTTCTTTTGACATGACAGTAGTGTTTGATACTTACTCTGTTTTCTGGTATAACAAGACTTTCCAGACTTGTATATTTCCTTCCATGAATCTGGACTCAGACATTTCTTCAAGAAACTCTGGTTCCTTTTAAGAGAAAATGGTATTTAGAAAACATAGTCTGAGAGCTAGAGGTGTTCAGTAATACTAGGTTGTTCATTATTTTTGTTCTTTTTGGTAGATAGAGCCAGTAAACACATATTTTTTAAAAATAATATAGAGCTCAAGTTCATAATGATACTTCCAGCGCAAATACAGAACCACAGGTTTTTCTTCACTTTGTCAATCTCACATCTGTATCTTTCTCCCATAAGAAAAAAATCCCGGCCAGGTGTGGTGGCTCATGCCTGTAATCCCAGAACTTTCGGAGGCTGAGGCAGGCAGATCACCTGAGGTCGGGAGTTCAAGACGAGCCTGGACAACATGGAGAAACCTTGTCTCTACTAAAAATACAAAATCAGGCGGGCGTGGTGGCACATGACTGTAATCCCAGCTACTTGGGAGGCTGAGGCAGGAGAATTGCTTGAACCACAGAATTGGTGGTTGCAGTGAGCCAAGATTGTGCCACCGCACTCCAGCCTGGTGACAGAGCAAGGCTCCATCTCGAAAAAAAAAAAAAAGAAAAAGAAAAAGAAAAAAATCCTCATTCTCTATGACAATCATATGATTACTCATATATAACACATACACATAAAACAATATACATACCTAACATACTTCACAGACACTATCACTTCACTACCACCAACAATATGATTACTAAGAATAGCTTAAGATTTTTTGTTTTTGTTTTTGTTTTTGTTGTTGTTGTTGCTCTTAGGGTATACCCCACTAAGGACATAAAAAAATACTTATTTTTTTACAGTACTTGAAATACTTCCCTGGTATGATTAAGCTGTAACTGGAAATACATTTAAGTACTTTCCTTTTGCTTTCATTTTACTTTATAAAATTTTAGGAATTGCTTTTTTGTCTTTTGTTACAAAATTATGTAAAAATATTTGCATAGCTTCAAAAGCAAATCCATAAAACCATGGCATATTTAAAGTCTAATCTCTATCCTGGTCTCTATTCCTTCTCTCTTTCTGTGGGTAAATTTGTTATTTTTATGATTTATCTTTCAATACTGTATTCTTCCACACATTACTCTAAGCAAATTCAGAGATATATTTGTATCCTTCTGACTCTTCGAGGCTCAGTTCCAGTGTTGCTCCTCTGAGGCATCACCACCATGAATGGAGTACTCATCAAACTGATTACAGCCAGAGGTGTACCCTGCCTGACAATATACTGGAATGGACACACTAATTGTTCATAGTTACCCTCCATTCTGATTGTTCACTCCTCTGTTGTAGTTATTGGTGCCTGAGTCTTACCCGATTACAATTCATTGCATTCATGCCTGCCTCCTTTGGTAGCAAAAATTACTAGGATTTCCTAGAAAGCCGAAACCAGACCAACCCTTACACAGCTTTACATTCCACGCAGCCACAGCCTCAATGAAAATTTGCTAAATTAAATGCATAAATCAGTGTCTCTCAGCCCTGGATAAGCATCCAAATTACCTTTACAGCTTTTTCAGATTTGTTAAAAATACAGGTTGCCAAATTATACCCAAAACTCAGTAAATCTTCAAAAGTGATCAACAAGAATCCGAATTAAATGATAAAGCATGCTTCTATTATGCAGCCAGTTTGAGCACCATTGATCAAAATCATAGCCACTCAGTATAAATGTACTGATAGAGCACAGGCGCTTTCAGTGGATGTTTCTAAATAGATTCTCCCCTCTGCTGCTTGAGATGGTGCAATGCTGCTAGCACAGTCCAAAGGAAAATTTAGCTTATCATTTTATTTATCCTGATGGTTTTCTTCAGAGAAAACTTAAGAACTGTGGAGGGTGTGGTTTCTGCTTTTGAAAGAGAATTGGTCGCATATAAAGGTTAACTACATTTTCAAGGTCAAACAGTTGGTCAATACTTGGGATGAACCCAGCTTTGTGACCCTCTGGTCTGGAGTGCTGTCCACCATTAGAAAAGCAGCTGCTTCCCTTTCCCAATCCTAAGATCACCCTGGAGCAGAGATGACACCAATCTTCCGATCTCTCTAAGGGCACTTTCTCCACCCACAGGCAGGACTTTAGAGCCAGAAGGAAACTTGGGGATTTTCCTGAATCCCTAAGGTGAGAAAAGTGTGGCCTGACTCAGAAAGACAGTTAAAGGCAGCAGTTAAAGGACTAGACTCAAAGTCACCTGCCTCCCTGACCAATCAGGCTTTTCACTTCCTGTGCTGCAGCAGTGACAGTCTCACCTATTCTCATGTCATCAGAGCTGATAGTCAGTGCACTGAAGCCTTGTGGTAAGAATGAAGCCAAGTTAGAGTTGCTGGCATCTAATCGCAGCCAAACAGCCTAATATCACATCTCTGCAGCTATGTAGAAGGCAAGAATCAGACTCAACTCCGCTTGCCTAAGCTTTAGTGGCAATGGCCATCCCCAGACCTGGGTCCAGGACATTACACCCAGTGCAAGTTGAAAAGAGAGCAGGGAGTGGGCTAAGAAAAGATTATCTCCTCCTACAACAACAACTTTAAATGAGCTCTCTCATTTGATTTTTCTTGATCATCCATCTAGCAGTGAAAGGAGGCAGTGGGTGGATGGGAAGGCTGGGGGCAGGGGGTCCCCAGGAGTAGCAGCACTGTTGGCTTCCTCCAAGTCTGCCTTTTCACTCTTTTCACTTTTATCCCCAGGACTCGATAGGCTAGAGATCCTTTAATTGGTGTCCTGGTGGAAAGAGATGGCAGTTGGGTTCTATAGAAATAAGGCTTAAGTTTTTCTTCCATTGTGCAGGTCCACATAATCCTCACCATTCCCTGTGCCCCTGCCCACAGTTTGAACCAAAGGCAAAAACTGGAGGTGGTCCTCCTGGTACATCTGGCTGTTTTGGAAAGCTCCAGGGAGGGAGTCATCATGGTAATCAAATGCATCCATTAAACCCAACAGACCCTTTTAATCATAGGCACTGTGCACGCGTGTGCACGCACACACACATGTGCACGCACACACACACACACACACACAATTGCCTGTCTCAGTGCACTCTCTGCGGCTCACTCTGGTCTCCCTGGCTTCCACAGTGTGAAGCAGGGCAAAAAACTATTCAGGTCAGAAGGCCAAGGTTATGAGGGAGGAAGGAAACCCAAGGGGGTGGGCAAACATGCTTGAATGTGTGCCAAAGAAGGGGACTGAAAGGCTTTGAAGGCAAAGAGTCCTATAGGGATGCTAATCATAAGTATTTTATTGTGATAATGCTGGGTCTCTTTCTCTCACTGGGATGCACACAAAACTGCAATGGGGAACGGGAGCCTCCCAGCTGCTCACTGTATTGCCATCAGAAAAGAGGTCAGTGGTAGAAAAAAGCCTTTTGCCCAAGGCTTTCGGAGAAATCATTGCTTTCACTGGATGAAGGTTCATAAGAAAAACTTAGTCTAGAATTTAAGAATCTTCTTGCTAAGAGGATTTTAAAACTATGACAGTATTCAAGGTTATTGGTAATATATTCTAGACCCTTTAAAAGTTATAAGGTGGTGAATGTCCTGTTATCGGATGGATCCAAGGAAATAAAGAATGACGACTTGCTGAGTTGATGTAGAAGATATTCTTACAGAGGGTGGAGTGGAGTTGAATCGTGTTCTCCGAAAAGTTACATATGTTCAAATCTAACTCCTGGTACCCCTGCATGTGACTTTATTTGGAAATAGGGTCTTTGCAGACATAACCAAGTTAAGATGAGGTTATACTGGATTTGAGTGAGCCCTAAATCCAATGACCGGTGTCTTTATGAGAAGACCATGTGAACACACACACACACACACACACACACACGCACACGGAAGATGGCCATGGCCATATGAGGACAAAGGTACCAATTGGAGTGAAACAGCTCCAGGCAAGGAATGCCAAGGATTGCGGACAACCACCAGAAGCTGGAAGAGGCAAGGAAAGATTTCTCCCTAGAGCTTTCAAAAGAAGCCTGGCCCTGCTGAAACCGTGATTTCTGACTTCTGGCCTCCGGCACTATGAGAGCAAAAACTATTGTTTTAAGTTACCCAGTTTGTGGTCATTTGGTATGCAACCTCGGAAACTAAAACTGAGGGTAAGACTAAATGGCCTGAAGGTTTTTTCCAACTATGATAAGCTATAGTCCTAAATTGGTGAGGGTTCCTTTTTTGGGAGTTCATACAGAAACATCTTTTTAGACTGATCCCCACACTGTCCTATCGTGACAGAGAGAAGTGTGGCTGTGAATGAGAAGTAGAGAGGAATGAAAGCCATTGTAGGCCCTTGAGGCAGAGTCCCAACCGGACCCTCCCCTCCTCAAGAAGGGTACTGGTTCTTTGCATGTGTGCTGCCTTCTCCTACCCCCATGAAGAATAATTGCACACTTTGTGCTGGCTCCTGAGGCAGAAACCAGACCCCAGTCCCCAGGGTTGTCAAGTGGCATTCCTGACTCAGGAGCTCCATCCAATTCCAAACAATTAGATAATTTAATCAGCATTGCAGAAGGCACATACTAATGCCATTAAAGGCAAGATCTCCCAGGGCAGTCTGGGAGGAGCAGAAGGGGAGACAAAGTGGAGTGGACTCAGCCTCAAGGTCACTGTGTCCTCCTCCACTGAATTGCCTGAGAGGGATGGTTCTGAGGCAATGCTGTTGTTCCCAGGGGTGGACAGCAGTGCTCCCTTCTCTAGAAACCAGGGTCAAAAACCAAGATGGAATCTGCACAGAGGACAAGAAATCATCCAGAGACTTGTAGAAGAAGCCCTGCATCTTCATGAATGGTGCATGGGACTAGGAATCAATAGGTCTTGTTTCAACCCTGGATCCATCATATATCAGCTGCATCACCTTGCACAAGGCACTTACTCTCCTAAGCCTCAGTTTCCACATTTGAAAATAGAGACAATTGGCCTGGCACGGTGGCTCATGCCTGTAATCCCAGCACTTTGGGAGGCTGAGGTGGGCAGATCACGAGGTCAAGAGATCGAGACCGTCCTGGCCAACATGGTTAAACCCCATCTCTACTAAAAATACAAAAATTAGCTGGGCTTGGTGGCGTGCGCCTGTAATCCCAGCTGCTTGGGAGGCTGAGGTAGGAGAATTGCTTCAACCACAGAGTTGGAGGTTGCAGTGAGCCAAGATCATGCCACTGCACTCCAGCCTGGCCACAGAGTGAGGCTCCGTCTAAAAAAAAAAAAAAAAAAGAAAAAGAAAAAAGAAAATAGAGACAATTACACTGCTTTCTAAGATTTGCAGAGTAAGGGAAAGGAATACATCATTTTTTGTTAGGATTGGGAGTCAGAGGTTGTGTTCTAGCAATCATTGTGCATTGTTTCAGGTCAGGTCCAAAACTGGAACCAAGGATTTAATAACTATTATGAGCAAATATATGGAAATTACAATAGTGCCTATGGCAGGGATCAAAACTGTGACTACCTATTTTAATGTGTTGGCCTGAAAACCAAAATATACCAGGATGCCATGCTTCTTGCTTTCCAGAGGAGGAAAATAAGGCTGTCTGATTTCCCAAAGCCACATCACCAGTTAGTGACAGAACAATGACTGTCACAGAGAAACTGTCCTGTAAGTAGCAGTTTTTCTTGTGCCAGACACTGTGGTTTACAAGCCTCTCATTTAATTCTCATAACAACTCTATGATGTTCACATTCTTTTCCCATTTTACCATTGAGGAGACTGACATTAGATAGAGGTTAAGCAACTTTGCTGAAACCACAGTGGAATGAGCCCTGGAGCCAGGAATCAAACCCACTCTGAAATCTGTGCTCTTAGCAATAGCAATGGAACCCGGCAGTCTTCTTAGTATGTATCTACCTGCTTCTAATGTACATGAAAACTTTGTCAATGACAACTTGCTATACACATGACCACATTCATTATTAATATTAACTGTTAAATGTAATTATGACATTAAGAGAAGTTAGCATTCGTTGGACTTTAAAGCTCATCAAAAGCACAGAGGTGATTCATAGGTCCTGGGATGAGGTACATATAGAAACTGCAGAGCAATTTGGCACATTCCTTTATCATAGGGTCTTTTCTGAGCTCATCAGTCAAAAGGAAAGAGAAGATAGTACCTTGTTTAAACAGGGCCAGAGATGTTAGTGGTTTTCCCTGATGGTAGAACTTGTAGTGGTGAAATTCAAGGCATATCTAATGTCCCAAAGGAGATTTTTGGCATCCTGACATTCCCTGTGGTCAGCTTCTGTGTATGAAAGAGGGATCCAGATTAGTGGAGCAGAACTGGATGGGTCCTGGTGTCAGCCTTAGAGAGAAACAGAGATCATGGGTGTTTTCCATCCCAGGCCCACAGGGGTCCCAGCATCAGAACAAAGATCTTCCAAAGTGTGACTCCATGATGGTGTGCCAGTCTTGACAGAGAGAAGAAAAGTTGGGATGGGCAATGGCTATAGGGAATTAATACAAAACTTTCACTTCAGATGGAAGGTGCAAGAGAAACATAAGGCATAGCCCTTGCCTTTAAGGAATTTGCAATCTAGTGGGAAAGATGAAGGTGAAGTGCCCCGGTGGGGTGCAATGGCTCACGCCTGTAATCCTAGTACTTTGGGAGGCTGAGGTGGGCAGATCATAAGGTCAGGAGTTCAAGACCAGCCTGGCCAATATGGTGAAAACCCATCTCTACTAAAATTACAAAAATTAGCCAGGCGTGGTGGTGGGCACCTGTGGTCCCAGCTGCTTGGGAGGCTGAGGCAGGAGAATCGCTTGAACCTGGAAGGCGGAGGTTGCAGTGAGCTGAGATCGCGCCACTGCACTCCAGCCTGGGCGACAGCATGAGACTCTGTCTCAAAAAAAAAAAAAAGAAAAGAAAAAAAGAAAGAAAGCAAAGTGCCCAAATTAAGCACACTGATTAGCAAAAGGAGAGGTCAGAGGGAATTGCAGTCAGAATGCAGCAGAGGAGAAAGAATGCTGGACTTGAAATTAAAACACCTGGGTTCCAGTAACTTCTCTGCCATTTCCTGGACATGTGATCTACAAGTCACTTATGCTCTCTGAGTATCCTTGCTTCTCTCATTTCTGAAATGAGTTTCTTTTGAAAAAGCAGATACCACTAGTGAAAATATTTCAACATATATTTATTAAATGACTTATCTGTTACAAGTTCACAATGAAAAGAAGCTAGTGTACAAATCCTTAAAATTCTGTATAAACAGAAAGCGCCATGGCATCTTAAAAGAGATGGACCTTGAGAAGGTCCTAAAGATTGTTCAGGCATTGGATGACTGTGGGAAGTGAGGCAGGGGAATGCCACATTCCAGACTGTAAGATTAACATGAGCGTAGATTCAGGGGAGTGAAATGAACTTAGTATCTTCAAGGAACCACTACACCCCGGGGTGGTAGGGAGGGGGCTGTCAGAAATAAGATTGAGCACAGAGGGTAGCGCAAGATTATGAGAAAGTTTGAAAGATGGCCTTTAGCCCTCTGATATTATGGTTGTGGAGTGTAATTTTTATTCAAGGGGAAGAAAAAAAAGAAAAGAAATGCATGCTGCTCACCCAAACATCAGGACATTCTGTTCTTCTGTGATTGTGCTTCGTGAAAATGTTCTCCTGCAAAAAAGAAAGAAAAAGAATGATTAAGGGAAAAAAATAACTAGAGCCACAGTCATTTCAGCTCCACTGAAAGCACAGCAGGAGAAAGTAGCTGTGTTTGCCAAACTCCAGAAAGAGACACAATTGATGGGGGTGGGGAGAGGGGAGGGTGAGGCAGGGGGTGGGAGATGAGGAGGAGCGGTTCTGCGTTGTTTTATTCCCCCAAGAAGATATTGTAAATAATGGAGAGGTATAGTACATGGAAGGGGAAATTACTCTGACAGGGCCCTTTTAGGGAGGAAAATGGAACTAAACACACGTTCCATTATTCCTGATCTTTCTTTCAACTCCCCATTTACATGGGGGCTCCCCGGAGCTGATGTTTCCCTTTTGCTGTCATAAGTAGTCATTGACTGGAGCCGATCATTTCGAAATAACGGCCTGCTACTCTTCCGCTGTCGTGATTAACACAGGGTAATAATTATTAACCACACTGATAACTGCAGAGGAGGGGGCGGCTGCCAGGTTGCCCTGCTTTTCTGAAGCCAGGAAACTTCCCTGTCATTCCACCAGGGGTGGGTGATGTCCTGGAGAGACCACAGAAGGCTTTCTGCCGGCTTCTCCAGGAGACCAGGAGCTGGGGCTCCCGCACCCTGGGCAATCGCCAAGGCTGGGTTTGCTGTCATATCACGACCTTGTGCAACAATGCCAAAGTAGGAATTCCACAGGAAAAAGTGGAGGCTGGAGCTTGAGGGATGGGGAAGAAGAGAGAAGGTAAAGAGACACTACGGGATTGTCCTATGCTCTTGGCCTTTGAAACGTCAGGAAATATTGTCAGCTGAATGGATCGAAGGGGCTATAGCCACCCATGACTCAGAAAGATTCATAACACCAGAGCCCTGAATGGGAGCGTTTATCAAAGACAGGCAGAGAGAGAAATCATCCGACTTGGGATAATTCAAAGGCAAAATCCTATTTCTCAGCTCTGTC
This sequence comes from Homo sapiens, assembly GCF_000001405.40. Lineage (NCBI taxonomy): Eukaryota > Metazoa > Chordata > Mammalia > Primates > Hominidae > Homo > Homo sapiens. The sequence goes on along the minus strand of NC_000001.11, from coordinate 208,252,156 downwards.
CCTGGATTGCACTCCCTCGTTGATTTTTTAGGCAGTGAGTTTCTTAGGCATTAAAAGAAGCCTTTTTTTTTTTTTTTTTTTTTTTTTGGCGTCAACATCCTTCCACCGTTCTCCAAGGAGAGAGTTGGAAGGGCGGCAGCATAGCAAGCTGGCGGTTGTGCTGGGGAGTAGAGGGTGCATCAAAGCTAATTCCTGCTTTTTACAGGTGGGGAAACCAAGGCCAGAGGAGGGAAGGTGACCTATGTGATGTCACACTGCCAGGGAGTGCAGAGTCAGGAATCAAACCCAGGTCTCCCGACTCCCAAGGTGGAGTTTTTTTTTAGTTCTGTTGTTGCTGTTGTTAATGGAGACAGCAGCCTTCATCCTACCAGCACTGATTGATTCTAAGTCAAAAGAAGCCATTCCAGAAAATCAGTGCTGCAGCCCCAGAGAGAAAGAGGAGGAAAGCCAGAAGGGAATGATGGAAAAAGAGAACTGCTTTTGCTGATCTTTCTTTTCTGTCCCATATAGCACTCATAATCCCCGGCAAGAGAGTATTTCACAAAAGGAATCATAATGAACTTAATATTAAACTGACTAAGAGGGGAAACCTAAACGTGGACCTTTCCTTCTAGGAATTCGAAACTCAGAATATGGAAAACATTGTTAATGTGGTTATTAATTGTTTCATGATGTCAGCGCTGATGCAGTTGATCCCTGCCTGCCCAGCGCTTGTGCCACTTCTGGATTTTTCTTTTCAGACACTAGCAATTCACACCCTGTCCTAAATTTATAGCATGGGGCAGGCACTGTGGTTTGCACCTGGATGTCAGGATATTTGATTTGCTTAAACAGCGTGTTTGTTTATTTTTGCATGGAGTGGTGGACTTCACTCTCCCAGCCTCCTTCCCGGGCAAGGTCCCACCCACCCCTGCAAGGCCCTGGACCAGCCTTCACCTGTCTGGCTTGAGGCCTCCCAGATCCCCCCTGGGCCGCCACTTGGCATTGCCTCACAGTATACCAGAGACAGGCCCCCAGAGCAGGGACTGGCTCTTCAAACCAGCCCCTGTTCATCACTCTTGTCACACTCGGGGCTATAGTCCCAGGGAGAACCTGGCACCGTGTTAGGTACTCCAGATATGAGTCAGGAAACAGAAGTTGGAGGCTGGGGGCTTAATGGGCTGTCCCTGAAGAGCTTGCAGTCAGAAGCAGGAAGAAATTCTTCTGCTATCATTCTTGTCTTTCTTTCTCCCCTAATTAGGAGGAGCTGTGAGTTCAATTCTGTTGGGGTTTGTAGGGCACAGATGCAATCAAGGCGAAGTCAGACACTGGCGTTTTGCTCACCCAGCTCCCCGTGGATTTCCACAAAGACCGACTGGCATGTTCTCTTTAAGGGGTGGGGGTGACACGGGTTGCACCCAATTATCCCATTATTCTGAAAGGCAGGCGTGGCCACATATGTGGTGTTGTACAGGGCAGAGGTGACAGAAGCTAGCAGAGATTTGCATGTATTGGCAACTTCTTTCCTACAGGCCAATTCCCATTATTAAACACACACCCACTATAAAATAGAGGAGAATTGAGCTCATTAGTATGATCGTTTAAAAAAATCATGAAAACAATTACAACAACATGCTCTCCTTTGTAAGAGAAAACGATGCTCCTGACCCTCGGCAGAACTAAAGCTCTGCGATGCTTTGCCTGATTCGTGATGAGTCTGGGGGCATTCTCCTGTGGCAGGGGCTCCAGGTCTTTGGCCGGGGAAATGCTAAGAAGCAGGCTGAGGCCTGTTGCTTCCCACTTACTGGCTTTCAAACTCCCACATTGATGGGCCCCCACACTTTCATCACTTTCTCCTCATCAGAAAAGGGCAAAATTCGAGAAAATGGGTGCCAGATCAGCCTGCATTTACATTCTGGCCATACCACACACTACCTGTGTGACCTTAGGACCATCATGTGACTTCTTGATCATCGGTTTCAGCATCTGTAAAATGGGATGATAAACCAGGCATGGTGGCTCACACCTGTAATCCCAGAGCTTTTGGAGACCGAAGCAAGAGGCTTGGTTGAGCCCAAGAGTTTGAGGCTGCAGTGAGCTATGATCGCACCACTGCACTCCAGCCTGGGCAACAAAGCAAGACACTGACTCAAAAAAAAGAGGGAGTGGGTGATAATAATTACTTAATTACCTTGTAAGATTAGAGTTGTGAGGATTAGGATTAGCACAGAGTAGGAATTCAATATATTTTAACTTATACCATTATATTTTGATAATTATGGGCAACTGAAGAAAAAGTATTGTTTTGTCTCAATGAAGACGATGGGACAAAATGATTACTTCCTACCAGTTCTGTGAATTTCTGATCTCAAAGCAAATAAATGGCGCTGATTTTGTCCAGTCTTACCCCCCCCCCCCACCCCGAGAAAGCCCTGGCAGGCCCGCCCAGAAGACATTGAGCCCTCAGAAAGCCTTAGAACCCAACTGTAGTTCTGGCAGCAACTGTCCTCTGAACCAGGCTATGCAGCAAAGACAGGAGGTCAGTGACTCAGAACAGGCAGGGGATTCCTGGCCAGTGAGGGCTGCTGAGCAGGGGTGGACCCCAAAAGCACATTCACATAATACATCTCAGCCCACAGGGAATGGGACCATGCTAATTTCTATGCAATCACAGCGTGTTCTCCAAGGCACCTCAGCCGCCCCTCTCTTCTCTTGCTCCCTGGGAGGGTGTGGGTGTGTACGTGGGCTGCTTAGTAATGAGGACCAACTCCAGCCTGGGTGTGCTTTGTGATTCCATAGATGAAGGTTTGTGGACAGAATCTCTTTTTCTCTGCAGCATTTTTGAGTGGAAGAGTAGGAGAGAAGGAGGGACCCCGAGGTGATGGACAACAATGACCCCATAAGCAAAGGGATATTTCTGGTGAGCCCAGCTGTTTTTCCTAGAAAACCAACCAAGAGAAGAACTGCAGTTGTACAGTTGGGAAATAGGTTTGCCTCCGGATGGAACTTTCAGGTTTTAAGAGAACATTCCCATGGATTTGTATAATGCTTTCTGGCTTGTGAAGCTCTTTCATAGTCAGCATCTTGCAAGACATGAAATGCAAGGGACATTATTCCACTTTATAAAGGAGGAAACTGAGGCACCAAGAGATTTACCCAGGGATTATGTGACCAAATGATTAGTTTCTCCTTTGGGGGGATTCTTTTAGAAAAAATAAGAGAGGAAGGCCCTTTTCCTGACCCTTAGTGCTAGGAATAGAGCAAAAAAAAAAATAAGTCCTGAGCCTCAGCCTTCACCTTCCATGCCTGGAGCCCAGTTGTCCACACTCCCCTACCCCACCCCTCCTCTGAAGCCTTCTGACCTTGCAAATGCCAGAGCCTTGCAAACTGTTCCAGGGACCTATTTAAGTAGGTTTGGGACTGCAGTTGCCTGGGCTTCACAGAGAATATTCTTCTCCCAGAGCAACACACTAGATGGATGGAGGAGGGGAGGGAGGGTTAGGGAAAGAGGACGAGGTATACAGGGACATAAGCTCTGCTCGTGGGAGGTTTAGTGAGAAAGGAGCGAAATCCTGCCTTGTTTGATTTGGAGCCTTAACAGGCTTGCTACTGTTTAAAGTACACAGGAAAGTGGGATTTGTGAAGGGAGGAGAGGGGAGGGGAGGGGAGGGAAGGGTGACGTCTTTATGAATGGTACTGAGAACCCCGGAGCAGATGCCCTGTTCCTGTGTCCTGGGCTGCCAGCCCCGTTGCCTGGGCTGAGACCCACCACTCTGGCATCCCGCAGTCTCTCTCTTCCATTCACAGGACTTGGCCCACACACTCCAGGCTGGCCTGTCTGGACCAATCCCTTTGTTCCTAACAATGTAGGGGTTAAGGGGAGGCTGCTCTGCTGCTGGGGTTGCCTGACAGCATCTGCTGGATGAAGGTGAGGTACCTGGTAGGGAGACAGAAGGGACCACATTCCTGCCTGTCTATAGTGGCAAGCCTGGGCTCAGGGCAAGTGAAAGATGACATGCATCTTAGAGCAGAGACCAATCAACTTGGTGGTGGCATCAGTGGTCTCAGCTTTGGGAGCCAGGTACAAACCGGGCAACAGCCAGTGCACCATCCAAACATTGCCCTCTGACACTGGCAAGCAGGAGCACCCTTGGCTCCCAAGCACAGGTCCAGGCACACATCCTCCTGAGCCCACCTCCCAGCCGACTCAAGGCACCGTAAATATATGCATGCACACACTCTCAGGCAGCATTCCCATGCTAAACACTGATAGCTTGCCACCCCCCGCCTCTAAAGGGAACAGACTTGATGCTGAAAGCCTGCCAAAGTGTGGCTGGCTTCCAGCACCAAAAATACCTCCTGTGATCCGAGGGGCTACTGTACTGGCATCTATTTGTGGGGCTGGAGCTGCTGCTGTGACATAAAGGACTTCCCCTAGGGATGGGCTAGTTGCCCATTTGGGCCTGTGCTCCCCAAAGTCTAAGAGCTTGCTTTCCAGGGCCAAGGCCTGCTCCCAGCCTGGAAAATGCAGGTGGCAGCATCTTAGCCAAACCTGCCTTCCACAGGAGAAATATTCATTCTTCACAGGAAACATTCTGTGGCATTCCAGAATGTTGGTGCCCTGTCCTCTCCCACTTCTCTCATTCTCTTGCTTAAGTAACCCATCTAGTTACTTAGCTTGCTTCTTTGACAAGCAAAGAAGAGGCCTGGGGCCTGGAACAAGAATGCAGAAGTGACAAATGACTTTCAAGGTGAGGTTCCAGGAATATCTTGACTAGGGAAGGTAGGTAGGTTGGGGTGAGTGGAGAACCCTGTTGAGTGTGCTATGATTTTCCAATGATGAGGATTTGGCATAAGATAAACATTTCCCCATTCATTCATTTGTTCATTCATTTGATAAATATTTGTTAAATATCGACAGCCTGCTCACAAATATGTTGCACTACATCTATCCTTCCAGATGGAAATGAGGACGAACTACAAGGCCCTGACAGAGGACTGGTCAGTCCCAAGGGGCTGTGGGCCTGATATCAGATGGACAGAATGAGGAAGAATATAGTGAAGGGCAGAAACATACAAGAAAACCAGAAACCTCAGAAAGAGATAGATCTGAGGTTATAGAATCTGTAGGGTTATTGCCATGCTTTCTTTAAAAATATGTGCCAAAGCAGTAATTATGGACTGTATATAGTTCCATTAAAGGAAGAAATTTAGTAAATTTGCTCTTCATAAATATTTGCGTAATAAATGAATGAATACCCAGATCAAAGGGAGAAGGTTAACGAGCAGATGTAAAGACTAGAGGTTCAGGTATACCGCTGTTGCCTCAGAGGATGTCAAATCTAAATACGAACCATGAACCCAAGGTTTTGGTTTTTTTTTAAATTCTCAGAGCATGTTATGGTAATTAGATGTTTAGCTAATAAGATCCATATTTGTTCTAGCCTATTAGGACTAAATATAACAACAATCTTTCCATTTTGATGATACTATTACTTCTTCCAACACGCTTACATATATCTATTTTAATTCCCCCAGTTGTCTGGAGAGTGAAGACAGAAATTCCCATCTTACAGATGGACAAACTGTGGCCTAGAGAAGTTAGAGGTACTTCATCCACTGTACCTCCCAGTAGATCAAGTTAGCGCTCTTTCCATTGCTATGCTGACCACAGGCTCTTCCATAGTCTCACAGGACTCAGATCTTAGACCCTGTTCAGTGGCAATGTGGAATCTGGATGGCGTCGTGCCACCCTGTCAGCCACAATGTGTCCTCCCGCCTGTGTTCCCTCTTTCTCTCCCTTTATTCAGGAAAGAGAGGGGAGGTGTGGGGATAAAAGATGGGGTGAGTGGAAGAGTCTGTTTCATTTTATGCTTCCTTGCTCTTCATTCTAAGATTTATTTCTGGACCACAGGAGTGGAGGGTGGCATATGAGAAAATTATTTCAATTGTATCATAATCTTCCCAAGGTGTGATTAAATTGAGGCATAGGGAAGAGAGGTGACCTCTTCCAGAGTCAGACACCACTTGATTTAGAACCAGAGGGCCCTAATTTTCAGCTTGGAGCTTTATCAATTAGATATCTCCAATCCTACCACGGCTGGTCTTAGGTGTAGCTGGCCAAACTCCATGAACAAATGGAGGAAGTGTTCCAAAATCTTCTAGCATCTTCTTCAAATCATCTTTTTTAATAAATTGTGGTTTAGATTCAGTCTACCCAGAGATAAAACGATCGACTAGTCTGTCTGCATGGGGAGACAAGATCTACTTATAAAAATAAATAAATAATAACACAGGGTAAATATGATAATTTATTGGTGTGTTACCAACAATGAATGCTAAAGAAGTTTGAAGGAAAGAACAGGTATGGATCAGGCAACACAGCTTAGACAGATTCTTTGTGGTCCCACAGGACAAAACTAGCAGTAGCCAGTGAAAGTTACAGGAACACAAATTTCAGCTAATTACAATGAAGAACTTTTGAAGAATTCGCTGATTTCTGCAGATGTTGGAGTAAAGCCTAGATCCCCCAGTCCTGTGTTGAATGTGCGATTGTTCGAGATGACTGGTTAGTCTAGATTTCCTTTTCTTCTTCCTCTCTCTCTCTCTTTTCTCCGGCTCCCTTTCTTCATCCTTCCCTCCCTTCGTTTCTTCTGCCGCTACTGCTCTAAGAATTTGGTGCAATTGCTTTTAGGTATTCGCAGTGATTTTTGTTGTTTTTTAGATTTATACCACTGAGGACTGTGGCCACGAGAGGGCAGTAGAGGAAGCTTATCAGAATACTTGGACAGGAGTAAACTCGTGTGCGCTCTAATCGCGAGCAGGGACTACGCAGATCCTGCGAACTCGCTGGGGTCCAGCTTGCAGGCCGCTTCCGGAAAGCCGTGTCTAGAGGCTGCGGAGTTACTGAGACTGTGTGGCGAGGAATCAGTGGCCTTGAGGGCACCGAGACATTGTCATCCAGAATCCCGAAACCTCTCACCTTAGGTTATTAAAATAAGTTATCTTATTGCCACCCCTCTGATTACCCTGCCAGAAAGATTCTCTGAATTGGATATAGAAAGCTCTTCTCCCGTCCCCAATGCCCCCATGCAAGTCGGGACTTACCAGATGCCCAGGATCCCTATCAGGGCTGGAAGTTTGAGATTCAATTCAGAGCAAGGTTCATCTTCTCATTGCAATAATAATAATAACAACAACTTCAAGCCTTATTTGACAGCTTGTTGGCCTTTTTCTTTTTTTAATTTACAAGAAGAGGAAATTTGCTCCCACAAATTCCAAGACTCTAGTCTCAACCCTACCAGACAAGCCCCGTTCCTCCCCACTCACCCCTCACTCAAATTACAGATGAAGAGGGAGGTGTGCAGGATGTGTGCGGTGACAGGTGATGCGAATGGGGGGGATTCCCTGTCCCTACTGCCCTCACCCACTCTTCCTGTGTTCTGAGCTCCCCCCTAACCCCAACGCTAGACCTTCTATTCCCCCGGGGGCCAAGCCAGCTGGGCTCGCAAGGCCCGACTCGAATTCCCGGGCCCTGGCAGCATTTTCCTTGCCCCCTTGGCTACTTAAGGTGGCCGATGGGTCCGGGCTGAGCTGGGCGCAGGACAGGCAGCCGAGCGGCCTCCGGATGCCAAACCTGCTTCTCCTTTGTTGACAGCTTGCGGAGGAGGAAGTCCGCGCGGGCGGGGGAGGGGGCAGGGTGCTGGCGGTGGCGGGCGGTGCCAGCAGCGGGCGCGGCCCCAGCCCGGGCGGACGCGGCCGGCGGGGAGGGGGTTAACGCGCGCGGCCTCTATGATAATGAGCTGCATGGTGAAATAGGGAGGCCGGCGCTCAGGGCTCCTCCGCCGCCGCCGCCGCCGCCGCCGCCGCCGCCACCGCGGGAGCCAGAGCTGCCGGGAGGAGCGGCATCCGCGCCAGACTGGAGCGGGAGGGCGGCGGAGGGCAGTTGCTGGGAATTTTTCAGCCGAGAGGGCGAGCGATCCGGAGAGAGACCCCGAGAGCTTGGGAGCGGTAGGGCGTGCGAGCGCCGCAGCCAGCGGAGCAAACCTCGAAATAGATCTGGAAAGCCAGGCTCCCGGAGGAAATGGGACTGTGAACGAACCGGAGAGCAAGAAGGGAAGGAAGCGCCGGGATTGCTGATGTCAGAGGAGCCCGGAAAGTCGCGCTGGAAAAATCTGAAGACAGCCGGGGCTCTGCTTCTTCCTCAGGAGAGACACCGCCGGCCGCCCCCACACGCCCCCTCGGCGCCTCCGGGTGCCCCCTGAGAGCCGGCGACAGCGCCCAGCCGGGCTGCTGCGGGGCGACGGAGGACTGAGGGGCGCGCGGAGCGGAGACCGAGGAGCGACTTCAGGAATACAGATAAGTGTCTGGTGGCTTGACGTGGATTTTAATGAATTTGGACTCCATGTGGATTTGGTCGTCTCCCTGATTCCGAGCTGCGGGCAGGGAGAGGGGCCTCGCGCCGCCCTCAGCAGCCGGCGGCGGCCGAGGTAGACCGAGCGGGGACGGAAGGACAGACCGACGTCGCCGAGCTGGGTAAGCGGCGGCTGGGCCGGGCGCTCGGAGTCGGCAGCGCCCTCCGCCCTCTCCCCACAGGCGCGCACACCCGTGGCGGCTTCTCCCGCGCCCGCCTCTTTGGGGTCCCGGCCCCAGAAGACCCGGCTTGGCCGCGGCGGGCGAGTCCCCGCGTGGGCTCGGCCACTTTCGCGGGCTGGAGCGCGGCGTGCGCGCGATCGCAGGCTCACTGGAGCCGCTGCCTCCCGCCGAGGGCTTCCCGGCCGGCAGCCCGCCGGCTTCCCGAATGCGGGCTGAGGGCGGCAGCAGCGCTCCGCGGCGCGCCTCCACCGCGCACCTGCCGGCGCTCTGCGGCTTTGGGGAGCTCGGGGCGGCAAGGCTGTCCTGAGAGCTGGAGCCCAAAGAGGGCCTCGGTGGCACCAGCGAGACAGCCCAAAGCCACACTGGCCAGCGATCGATTTGGGGGCGTTCACTCCAGTGCCGGGGTCCCTGGTGGCCGCCGGCTCTCCCTTCCGATCGGGGACTGGAGATCAGGGGAATGGGAAAACATCATTTGCGCGGGTTCCATAAGGCTCAGGGAGAGATTCCTAGGCACTGAATGGGTCTAAGTGTTTCATCTCCCGGGGCTCCCTTTGCGGTGTATCGCCCAGCAGGGGTCCAGCCCCTTAGTTTGAGCACCACAGGAGTGCTGGGGGTTGAAATGGGAGTTTGCTTAGGGTCCCAGAGGCTCCTTATGAACCATTTGAGAATGTTTCCTTCCATGTGCTCTTTCTTGCCCCACCCCACAAGTGAGGTAGGGATCCTAGAAAATTCTAGCCCTTTTTATCCATCCCACAGGTAGTCTCTATAATGCCAATCATGGTCTAGATGCCCAGAGAGTCACCAGAAACTACCATTTTAGATCCCCGAAAAAAGTCCACCTGTTTGGAATGACCCTTGCCCTAGTGGGAGCTACCTACTCAAACTCAGCTCTGCTCAGGAGGGATAGAAATAATGGTGGGGAGGAAGTTGGATAAAAGATTTGGGGCTCTAGGTCAGTAAGGGTCTAGAAATGAGAGCCCCATGAAGTGGGCAATGGAAATCTGAACAGGTCCCCTGTAGGAATCTTAGAGTGACAGTGGCACACCAGTAGAAAGTGCACAAGGGACATGAAGGCAGCATCAGTTTGAGGGGACTGGGACTGCCAGTCATAGCTTGAGGCAGTCACTTGGGGGCCCATCAGTTTGGAAGAACCCACAGAAATTTGGGGGCACATTCATTTCCTTCCATTCACGCGCACAGTGGACAAGGCTTATGAGCGGCAGGCCAAGATGAGTATCTTGGCTGGCCTGGGCTGGAGGCTTTGAGAGCAGGAGTCAGGTTTAGCTCTCCCCTCTCCCCACACAATAGCAGTCTCCCTCCTTTGCTGGGCTTCTTTCCCAGATCTTGAAACTTCACTCTTCCCTCTGGGTTGGCTTTGGATTCTGGGGCCTTCTACTGATTGACAGAGCCCCAGGAAGAGATAACCTTGGCTGGAGGAATTCAGCTATTCCTAACTGAAATGCACAACTTTTATGCAATAACCCCAGAAAGCTCCCAGAGTTGCTTGCAGCCCTCTCCCCTCTGACCTCCAGGCAAGAAAAGAGAAGAATTCATTAACTTCCCTCTCTCTTCACGGAGCACCATTTGAACTAATTACCTGGGATCTCTCCTTGGTGGTGGCCTGGAGGCTGAAGGGGCAGTGAAGAGAAAGGGTAGGGAACCAAGGAAACAGTGGAATCTGTCATAGCGAGGTTGTTTTTCATTCCCCTTCTTCCACCTGGCATCACCACCAACCCCTCCTCATTCCAGAACTTGCCCCTGCTGCCACCAACCAGCATTACCTAAAGGAGCTATTTCCCTCCACTCCGCAGCCGATCGTCTTCAGGGACCTGCTGATAAAGGGAGGGCAATGCAGATTACCCTCTCTGCTCCCTCACTGTCCTCAGCAAATTGCATTAGGATGGGGGCAAACTGGCTTGCAAAGCAGTTAAATGGAAATGACATTTGGAGCGATGTGCAGGGAAGATGCTGAGGAGCAGCAGTGGTAAAGTACCAGGAGATCTCTATCCAGGGACCATGAGTCTGCCAAGGAAATCCCAGCTGGTCCTTCTTTTTGGCAGGGCATAAGGACAGGGGTCCCTCAAAGCCTGGAGCAGGACAGGGGGGCTGGCTAGCTTTTCAGCCCAAGTCTAAATGAAGAGTATGGCAGTGTCTTATGTCCATCGCCCAAAACCATGTCATTACAAGGTTGGTGGCCCCCCTTTCAGAGCTAGTCTGAATACCTATCCCTGTCTTCAGAGCACCAGGGAACATTCACCCTGCAACTCTCTTGACCATCAAAAGCTGCAGATGCGGTGAATGTAAAAGTTCCTTCACCATCTGTTTTACTGAAGTCTGCACTTAAAATGAGGTTAAAAAGAAAGCCCTCAAAGAACAGCTACCTGTTTCCTAGGTCCCTTTCCCATTTACCAATACTTCTGCTTACTCAGCTAATCTTTATTTCATGGGCAGGTTACAAGAAAACATAGGAACAGGAGGGGAAACCAGTGACATGGTTAAATATACAAGGCAGCAGCTGACAGCAGCCTAAACTCACCACTTTAGGTGCTATGAAATATTTATGGTGCTGGAGTTGTCACTGTTTGGGGGTTTTATAGTTTCTATCCTACCTCATTTTCTATGATTGCCTCCCTAAGATATAGGGTTTGGTGTGGGGGAGGCAATTCCTGTCTCCAGCAGCACCTCCCCACCACCACCAGCTGTCTCCCTGCATTGCCACACAGCTGTCTCCACACACACGAACTGAGGCACAATATACTTCTGTCCATCATGGCAAATGGAGAGGCAAGGAGCGCCTAGCCAAGCCCCCACCCCCCACCCCCATTCTGATCATAAAGAGACTGGAGCATTGTGTTACAGTCTGTTAACTAGAAATAATTCAGGACTGACTGTCCATAGGGAAACTGGTAGAAACAGGCTTTGAGGTGCTGGGAGTTTTACAGCTCGTGTGCGTTCCCCCCTCAGCCCCAATCACCACCGCCCCACCCAGGGGCAGTCTGTTATCAATTCATTATATGTGAATATTCTATTTCTACCCTTCACATATGCTCAGTTCAAACAATGATGAATGGAACCAGTTCCCTGAACAGTTTTTTCACTTCGTTACAAAGATTTCATGCCTGATTAGAGTAAATGAGGGGTGGGTGTGCATCCACTTCTTTTTCGGTCATTTCTAAAGGTGAGCCCTATGGAGACAGAGAGAAAGGCAGTTCTTCCCAGGGTCAAACAGCTGGTCTCAAGGCACGAGGGAGGGATGGCTGGTAAGAAGAGGATATCCCCGTCCTCCTGGGCTTAGCCCTCAGGCTCTCCTGGGCCTCATTCCCTGGCATTTGGGCATATGGAACCTCTTTATCTAGCTCCACACTGCTCCATCTGGAATTGGAGGGCATAAATAGAGGCGAGAAAGTTCTTTGTTGGGGAGCAGGGTCCTTGCGGGGTAAGAGTGTAAGGGGAGAGGAGGAAGGAAGGGCACAGAGCTGAAAGAAATGGCTGAGGCCTGAGCAGTGCAAAAGTTCTCTGCTTCTACAGTTGGTTAACCATTAACCGCCTTCCCTGCTCTGGTTCTGTCTCTCTCTTGGGTGAAAGAATATCTCTGGGAAACTCAGAGGACCAGCAGGTGTTCCCCCATACCCCCCTTCACCCCAGCTTAACATTTGCTGTGTCTCCACTGTCCTGCCACAGCCCCAGGCTCAGCCACTGACCCCCACTCACCTCTTCCTCACCTTCTTCCCCTACCCCAGCATACTCTTCCCACGCACTGCCAGTTGTCCCTTTACCCAGGCATTGCCAGTTGTTTGCAGGGCAGGGCGTGTGTCAGAGACTGGGAAGCAGGCACAGAGGTGGGGAGAATCTATTGAAGGGAGCAGCCGGCTTCACACAGGATTCGGAGCAGGAGCTCTGAGCTCAGGTTATAGACAGCTCTATAACCACTAGGATTTTCCTAGTGCTTCTCACTGTGGATCTGGCTTGTGGGTGGCTGTTTTGGCCGTTTGAAGTGAGTCCATGTGGTCCAAGGCCTGACCAAGGCATTCCTAACAAGTCAGACCTGGAATCCTGAACATCAAAGAAAACCAGCAGGTGGATGGAAGATGTAGATCAAGATGCAGGAGCAAAGGCACACATGGAAAGACAGAAGTCAAGATGTGGGCACAGGCACAGATAAATGGAGAGAGGGAGGAAGACAGCAAGGGAAGATAAAGACAGAGAGATTAACAGTGTGAATGGGGGTGGACAGAGCTCAGAGTGAACACAAAGAGAAAAGTGGGAAAGAGAGCCTTGCAGGCAGAAGGGGGTTTTCTGAATCTTCACTGGCCAGGGAGGCTCTGGGCTGAACTGAGAAGCCGAAGTAGCAGGTTATCTCCACTAGAGGGGACTCTTGAAAGCCAGGCTTGGCCCAAAACAGTGGCTTTTGTGCTTTTTTTTTTTTTTAGAAGAAAAAAAATATTAATAGATGAGATATATTCGAAACTCCCAGCCGTCACTTCCCAGAGACTACAACTGGTAGGGTCCTATTGCCAGTGGGACCTTTGGGCCTCTGTCTGTTTGCAGAGGATGAGAAGGCGCCTGCAGCATTAAGCTGGGATGCATGGGTTGTGAGCAACTCCGGAGAGGCCTGCCCCAACAGGTCACGTCTAGGGCTGGGTGGCAGGGAGGGAGTGCATTCTCAACTTAACAGGGAGTCCAATCTGCTGGCTGGCCCGCCAAAAGGCCCTTGCCGTTCTTATCAGCAACAGAAGTTTCTGACCCAACCCCGAGGGGCCTTCACATGCTTCCCATCTCCCAACTCCCTAAATACAGATTTTTGAGACTCTCAGGTAGTAGCAAAACTGCTCCTGAGGAGACTTTTTTTTAAAAGAGCTTTCAGGAACTGAATGCATGTCAACATTGTATCGCTGATTTAATCTTTTTCTTCATATTCTCTGTGGGAATCTTTCTCTGAATTATAATTCCCCCTTTCATTTCAGCAGAGGACAATATTGAGAGACAGCAGAGTCCAGAGGCTTTTCTTATCTAAGGAGATAATAACTGCCTAACAGGGGCATGGAAAAATATTGAAGTATTGGGATGGGCAGGAGACCAGAGAGCTTAGCCCCGTCTCTTCCAATCTGATAGCATCCCTTGATAGTTCATCTTGGTTTGCTTTAGCTCAGATGTACCTGGACGTCAGGGCAGGGGGAAGGGAGGATAGAGAAAAGAAAGAAGAAAAACAAGATAAATGTATCGTGTTATGAAAGTTTAATTCTGCTTTTCTTTGGCTAAAATTACTTTGAGGGTGAAAGATAAAAGGTAGTAGAGTTGCCCTTGGAAAGTTCAACTTGTCTTTCAGAGGGAAGAGGAGGAGGGATCCCAGGGCTCCGAGTGAAGAGCTGGTGAATGAGCCTGTCTCCTCTGATCCCCGCAAAACACACATATTCTCTCCGACGCTTTGAGAGGACGGAAGCTTCTGACAGAGGAACCCTAGCACCTCCCAGCCCTCTTGGAGGAGTTGTTCTCCCAGGCTTTCTCTTGTTCTGTCTAAACAGCCTCCCTCTCAACCATAGTATAGAGGGATAGAAGAAGGAGAGATTCTTACCCTTTGCACTGAACCAAATAGGATGACACTGAAAGCGGGAATTGGAATTCATTTAAGTTTAAATAAATAGGGATCGATCACCTGTGTGGTGCCAAGAATGTGGTAGCTCCCTCCTAATACAAGGATGAAAAAGTAATAGATCTTACCTTCAGGGCATTTACAGTACACTCAGGGAGTGGAGGAAGAAATTGCATAGCCAAGTACCCCCAAATACCTTTAGTAAAAGGCAGAATGGCATTAACAGTGTGTACTAGGGGGTCAGAGGAAGTGAGAGCAGACAGCTCCTCAAAGCCTTTGCTTTAAGTCATGGGAGGTGAAGATTTCCAGGAGAGACTCAGAGGTGCTGGAGAACTTCACAGTTTCCTGTGAAGAAGGATGACTATTTAATGCTCTCGCAGTCTCCAGCCTCTCACAGCTACCCGTACCTACCCAGTTTTCCCCTCGTTCTTCTCTGAGGATTTTAAACTGGACAGCGCTGGAGTTGTTTTCTATTAGTCAATATCCTACGGCAAGGACTCCAGGGTGCACACTCCCAAGGATTTTCGTGTTGTATTCTATGTAAATTGCATCCCTTTCTGGTACTTCTGGAGCTGGCGTGTAGAGGCCAGTGTGGTGCCTCAGGAAATATTATTACTCATCCACATTCACATTTAAGTGTCCAGAATCCTGCTATTATGCATCTACTCTTATCTGAATGAAGTTATTAAATGGAAGGACCTGAGAGGGAAGATTTGGATTTTATCCCTACACCTTGGCTGTCCACTCCTCGGGCTGCCTCTGCCATGTGCTTGCTACCTGGAGAAGGAGCCAATCTCTTTAAAGCTTTCTGTCCATAAAGAGGGTAGAGGGATACTAATAGAGAAAGGTTAGGAGGATGAAGATTTCAACTCAAAGAGAAGGTAGCCATTCTGCTTTAAGCTTTCTGTCCATAAAGAGGGTAAGGGATGCTAATGGAGAAAGGTTAGAAGGACGAAGATTTCAACTCAAAGGCTGTCTCTAATCCTATAAAGGAAGGTCATGCTCTCCCTGCACCTCGTCTGAGGCTGGGGGAGCCACATCAGTGATGCTGTCAGGGAACTGACCCCTGCACTGGGAAGCACAGAGCTAGGGCCATACTTGGGCTTCAAGAGGCCTGTGAAACCTTGGAGATTCTATATCTTCAAGAATGATGTGGGTATGTGTAGTCTTGTATTTCCGAAGAGAAGGAGTTCTTGCCCCCTCCACAATGTAAAGAACCACTAGATTCCAGTCTCTAGAGCCTTTCCTAGCCGTCATTTCCGCTTCTGCTCTGGTGGTGGAACAGGGCTTTGGATGAGGAGCTGTAACCCCAGTGCTTCTGAGAGTGGTAGACAACTCACTGAGTGAACGAGAACACGCCAGGGACAGCTCAGAATGTCAGCGGAGCCTATGGATTGTGATTGCTCTGTGACTATGGGCAGGTCTTTTTACCTTTGAGCAGGGGTTAGAGGGAGCAGCCGGCCAGGCAGTGTGCTCCACCCTTTAAGGGAGAGAGGGTGGAAGGTTCAGGAGCAGAGGAAGGGGTGTGTAGAAAAGCCCTGCCTTGCCTTATAGAGGCAGCAGGACCAGCGGGCAGACAGAAGTGGCAAGAGGGGATGTTGCTGCTTTGAAGTGGTTTCCTGCTTCATAAAAGTGAAAGGCCTCGGCTAGGCTGGGTAAATATTACGTTGGCCTCTGACCTCCCACCTCCCCTGACTGCTCCCCGGTTTCCCATTTTTTTCTCCTGAGGAACAAAAATACCTGAAGGAGAAGAGCCAATTTTTTGAATTTCACTGAGAACAGCGTTCTTAGCGGGAGCCCAGCCCAAGCCAGACAGGAAGACCCAGGCTCCTTCCCCGTCCACAGGCAGGAGGCCCCTCGTGAGTCAGCAAAGCTCTCGTTCCAGGTCTCCACTCCACGTTTTAGGGCAGTGGTGTTTTCCAGGAGCAGGGCCGGCTGGGATTTCACAGTGCCCTGACAACACTGATGCCCCACCCTGACTCCAGCTGCTTAAAACTTTCTAACAAGTCCCTTCACTCTCTGTGACATTAAAACCCAGGCTACGAGGTTTTCTGTAAGGCAAACACCCCACCCCCTGAGGTTTATCTGTAAATGAACAAAATTTGAGTCTACCGCCCCACTCTGAGTGACCCACAGGGGGTCAAGTTCTTCAAGTTCTTCAGCTTTCTTGGCCCACAGACTTAGAGAGAAAGATCTGAACTGCATGGGGAGCTGGAAGCCCCTCCCAGCACAATCCTGCAGGAGGTTTAGGCCCCACTGAGATGGTTGAGAGCAGATGGTCAGGAAGAGCCTGGTGTCAAAGAATCAAACAGGAACTAAGTGCCTGCCTTCACACTTGTAGCCCTTCCCACTTCCTAAAGATTTCTCACCTGTTGACCGGTGCTCACCCTCCGTTTGTTCCCTGGTCCCAGGAGGGAGATAAGAGGTTAGTTACGCTCTGGCAGAATTGGCTCCTGCCCCTTACCCAGCACCTCGGTTTCTCCATCTGTATAATGGAATGAATACTCAAGCACCTTCACTTGTCTTTGTTTCTGGAGCCAGGCCCGGGAAGAGGGTGTTAGGAAAGTTGGAAAAACGACAAGTGCTGGAAACAAGGAAAACTATTCTAAATTTTGGGACAGGTATAAGAAGCGAAACTAGGGTTATTTTCCCCCTCTCTCTCCAAATTTGTTTGGAATTTTCTGAGAAAAGTAAGATTTTATTTAAAGAAAATCTCTATGCTAAAGAATAAAGGGCTGAAGACTTGGTGGAGATGGGACATAGAGAAGAAAGCCAATAGTGGCCCTGCAAGGAGACCACATTCAGGGCTTGTGGTCAGCATTTAGCCAGTGGGATTGGAATTTGAATTCTGCCTTTGCCGCCCTTGGGTTTTTGGTGCCTTCAGAGCTCTGAGAGTGTACATGAATGACACTGTCGTAGGATTGGTAGGTTGGCATTGCTGTGGGAGTCAACCCTTCATGGAATAAGAAAACGCAGAGCTCATGGGTATCTGGCTGCCTGGCTGCAACAGGGCTTGCATCTCTCCTGCACAGAGTAGCTTTTACCCAGGCCCACATAGTGGATGTGAAACCCAAGTCCAAATTGGGTAAGTGCATTGCCGTGAGTCACACAGCAAGCTGCCATTCACTGCCCTCCAATTGCTAGGAGGTTTGTTTGCCCCAGCGTCACCCGCCACACTCTCTTGATCTGCCCACTTAGCTACCTTTTCTTTCCAGTCTCTTGTCCCCTGCACTGTGCCCAGTGACCTCCCCCATCTCTCTCTTCCTTGGTTTTGAGCAGACAGGCATCTCACGAGAGCTCCTGGGGGCAGGGACATGGATGGAGCAGACACATCACAGAGTGTGTTAGCAGGAGTGGAGTCCAGGAGCCCAAGCTGGACGCTGGGGCTCAGGGATCAGATCCTTGGTAGCACTGATCATCGGTCAAAACCTAGCAGGATGTCTGGGGAGAAGCATTAGCTGTCTTCTAGTAGGCCAAGAAGCTCCCCAAGCAACACAAGGAGCTTTGTCCCTGTTGGAAATGCAGAGTGCGGGATGGGGCCTGTGAGAGGAGAGTCCTAAACATCCCATAGCACTGTCCAAGAGCCTGCTGCAGAAAATGGGGTCAGCAAGAGCCCTTGATTTTCCTTTCTAAATATTATTTTTTAAGAAAGAGTTTGAACTGCAGAATAAATAGGTGTTTGGTGTAGAATACTTGGGAAATGTTTTTGAGTGTTTAATAGTACCTTTTACCCGGGCCCACACAGTGGATGTGAAACCCAAGTCCAAACTGGGTAAGTGTATTGCCCTGAGTCACA
This sequence comes from Homo sapiens, assembly GCF_000001405.40. Lineage (NCBI taxonomy): Eukaryota > Metazoa > Chordata > Mammalia > Primates > Hominidae > Homo > Homo sapiens. The sequence continues at coordinate 208,234,196 of NC_000001.11, read as the reverse complement.
CAGCAAGCTGCCATTCACTGCCCTCCAATTGCTAGGATATTTGTTTGCCCCAGCCTCACTCACCACACTCTCTTGATCTGCCCACTTAGCTACCTTTTCTTTTCGGTCTCTTGTCCCCTGCACTGTGCCCAGTGACCTCCCCCATCTCTCTCTTCCTTGGTTTAGAGCAGACAGGCATCTCACGATGAAGCAGTATTCCCTGTGAGAACTGACCTCTCCTCTTCTCTTCCCATCTGCCGGCCCTTAGCACACACCACAGCCCTTCCATGGTGCTGCGCAGTGTGGTGTCAAAAGACCCCCCCTTTTAAATAGCTCCAACCAGCTTTCCTCCATCCACAGCAAGCCTTGATATTTGCACAGTCAATGGCTCTGGCAAGGCCAAGCTGCCCCTCCCTCCCCGAGAGGCACTGTGGGCACTGTTTGTGTTTCAGTCTCTATAGACTCAGCATTCACAGCTTGAAGAGGCTGAGACAATGACCCAAGCAGCTGCCTGCAAACTGTGCTGGCTGGGAGGCGCAGAGAGCTCCAGTCTCACAAGGCTGCGAGGGAATGAGAGGCAGGGAGGGTCGCCCCAGCTTGGATTTGCACACCATGCACCTGGGAGCATTCTCAGGCAGCTGTGGCTGACCTGGAGGAAATGAAGAGGGCTGGGATCCAGAGAACCTGGTCTAGGCCACCCGATTGACTTCCACTGCGGGCCCCCAGCTTCCTTGGCCAAATTTTCCACCAACTGTGCAGTCCCTGGGGGCCAGGAAGAAAAAGCAGGGCCCTGGGGAAGCAGCCATGTCTGGCCTGGGGATGGGAAGAGGCAACATTTGTCTGCATAGAGAAAAATAGAAAGCTTCACCTGGGAGAAGAAAAAAAGATACGTTCCTTGCAAGAAATTTTAAAGTTGGTGCAGCATAATTTCATTTGACTGAACGAGTGTTTATAGAATATCCATATACCGAGTATGATAGAGGGGAGACAAGTCATTGTCCAGGCTCTTGAGGAGGTTTCAACCTGGCAAGAGAGGGTATGCACGCAAATCATCGTCCTACAAGTCACAAATAAGTATTGCAAAAAGACAGAAGGAGAGAGATTAGCCAGAGCTATCCCAGCCTGGAAAAGGCTACTTAGGGAGGGAATGGGCTCTACAACATTTAGGGAATTCAAGCAGAGGCTAGAAGATGGCCAGGTCTCAAGAAGAGATTCCTGCATAGAGCAGAAAGGTATCGTAGCTGATAGCTGAGGTCTCCACCCACCCTAAATCTTCTAAGCTTGAGTTCCCTCTTTGCTGCTAAGTAAATCCAAATTCAGTGGAGGAAAAGGCTGTGTTATGAAGTGGAGTGTCAGGTCCATACAATTGAATTCCAAAGTAAGTAAAGTTGGTTCTCACACCTTCAGGCCCATGGCAGTCTCCACCGAGCAGGGTGCGAGGAAGGCTAGGCTGGGATTAGCCCTGGTCTCCTCTGGAGCCAGAATTCTCCTAATCATGTTAAAATTAACACTCCCTCTACAAGCAGGAGCAGACCCCTCTGAACTGAGATTTGGTCAATTCTCTGCTTGCACAGCTCTAACTTCTTCTAATCATTGTCATAAACGGGACGGAAGCAGCTGCTCACTCCAGTCTATTATCAGCTTGGTTGGAGACAGAGAAATTTAAATGACAGTAAGATGCTTAGCAAAGAAACGAAAGTCAGTGTTAAAAATAAAGAAAACAAGACAGCTTGTTTCATCGAAATAGAAGGGTTATTAAACAGGCCTGAATTAATCAGTGATCTGCCACTGTCGGGAATTGAAGAGCAGCAGGGCCAGGGCTGAGAGCTGGGAGGAGATGGGTAAGGAGAGGAGTCAAGGCAGATAGGAGCCTTCTGCACTCTTGGGCTGGCTGCAGGGACTGCAGAGGTGCTTGGTCTTCAGAGGGGTTGCTGGCAGCTGCATTCTTTCCCACAATAAAGGGCCGGCTGGGGAGAGGGAGACTGGCACAGTGGTCTCTCCTTACAGATTTGTGCTTTTGGATCCTTTCCATCTGCCACCACCTGTGCAAGCCCCTGGGGCCATGTCCAGGCCTCAGCCCCTCCCCAGCCCTCCTTCCCACCCGCCAGAACTGGGCAAGAGCCAAATGGCATTCAGTGGATGGCCAGCAGCTCCCAGCCCCAGGCCTTTTCCTCTAAACATTCACAGGGCCCAAGAATTCAACTCTGAGTCACAGCTCCTTAGACCCCATATCCATTTGCAAAGAGTAGTAACAGGATATCCCCAACTATGGTCAGAGTATTGCTTATGTGCAGGCAGAGAGTATCCTCTTGAGTAAGTGATCTCTTCCAAGATATATCAGTTGGTGGCATCTGCAACGTCAGGCAGCAGAGAAGCCAAGTGACATGTTTAACTCCAGGACCCCCCAAGTCCAAGTCCCACTTTCACATCTGGTGCCTTTGCCAAAATATTCAACCTCAAATATACCTAAGTCCTCTCACCTGTAAACTGGTGATGCGTATGCTGCTCTCAACCTCACCAGCTTGAGTAAGGGGTACGTTAGCGGGATGATGCATGTGAAATTTTTAGGAAACTATAAAATCATTGCACAAATACTTGTTCGTATTACAGTGGGGTCCCTTGCACACTCAGAACCAAACATCAGAAGAAAGGTTTTTCCGAAGGGCATGGAATGCATCTGGGAGGAGAGCAGACAGACGTGCTCACACCTTCGCAGGCGTGTGGAGGGGAGGGCGGGTGACCAGGCACATCTGTGTGCACATGTGCCTTCATCCGGTGCGGAACATGTTGGATCTTGAGTCAATCACTCCAGGAGCATTTTCTTTGCTCCTTGACCTCCACATTCTTTCTCCTCACCCCTCCCTCCCGCTTCCCTCCTGGGTCCCTCCTGGCTGTTTACCCTTTTCCCGGCTTCTCTCTCACACCCCATTCATCATCCAGGGCCAGATTCTCACTCAGGGAGCACTTTTCATCTCCTGCCCTAGGTCCTCCCTCCCCGGCCTGCCATTCCCACCCTGCTCCCCATCAGCACATTCTTCCCCCTGTCTCAACCTCTCAGAAAACTGCGCCCGTCACTCTCCCTCACAGTGGGCTGAGGGATCCAAGAGGTCCGGGGCTGGGCTGATAGCGCCTCAAGGGTCTCAAATGTCTACTAACTGTGCTCCTTCACCAAGGGACTGATGCCACTCCAGGTGCTTAAGGGTCCTTCAGGCCGAGTGTCTCTACATCTTGGCACAGAAAAGACCTTTAAGTGGTCAGACCTCTGCCCAGAGTTCCAGCCACCCCTCAGTTTCTGCATGCCCCTTTAATCCAGCTCCATGGCACTCCCCTTGCTTGGTGTGTGTAATTGTGAGCGTGCCTGTTACTTAGGAGAGGCTGTCTGACAGCTAAGGATCTCTACTGCAAGAGCTGGGAGTCTCAGACAAAGAGAGAAAAATAATAGAAACTGCAGGTAGGAAGATACAGGGTGGGGACATAGCCTGCTTAAGAAGCTTCCTCCTGAAAAGGAGTTAAAGCTTTTTTATTGGAAGGCTGGCTGTTGGTTCAGAAAAGCACTAGAGAGAAAGAAAGGCAGGGAAAGACAAGGAAGGGAGAGGAACTTCAGCCTGTGTACTGAGGCAGACCTGTATGGGAAGGGCCCAGAGAATGCGAGGCCCCAGCCTAAGGAGCTGGTATCTCAGCATCTTCTCCTCCTCCTCAGGACCGGTTTTCCTCTTTCCTCCTCCACACCCTTCTGTGCTGCCACAGGTGCCTGGACAACCCAGCAAGAGCAACACAAGTGGTCCTAAATCACCCAAGGGCCATGAGAGGAGGGTGGCCTGAAATCATGGGACCACTGATAGAAATGGTGGGAATGACAACTCAAGACCTCAGGTCAGCACGGGGAGAAGGTGGGACTAGCAGCACCCTGTTTGTTTCTTCCGAGAGGACTGGGTCTGGGGAGGCAGGTGCTGGGTCACCAGGTTCTGCTGCACAATGATCACCAATCTCTCGAGCTAAAACAGAACCCTCGGAGTTTGTCACCATCATACAAGGCAGCCAAGGAGATGATGTCCTTGTACAGTGTTTCTCCAAAAGCAGAAACAAGAATAACTGGTGTTTACTTAGAGCTCTAGAGTTTACAAAACAATTTCACATCCATTATCTCATTGATTCTCACCACAACCCTGTGAGGTGTCATTTTACAGCTGAGGAAAGCGAGGCTCCAAAAGGTTAAATAACATGTTCAAGGTCACCAGACTCGTAAGTGATAGAATGAGACTTGAGCCCAGGTCCGTCTCCAAAGGCCAAGGTCTTTTCTCTGCGCCATCCAGCGCTGCGAGTTTGACCTCCTTGTTGAAGACCCTGTTCTGGAACCTTCCAAGGGGACTTCCCTCACCCCACTCTGTTCATCACTTTATATTGTGAATTTGTCATTTTTTATTATTATGTGCTTTTTATGTGATCCATGATATTATATGGTTAACGGCTCTGGAGCTGTCTTGCAAAGACTTTTCCTGCACAAGTCTAGATTATACATTCTTCAAAGACAGAGCTGGTATCTTCCCATTCTTCTCCATCTTTCTTCCCACCTCACCCATCTAGCCTCACCCAGTGGGTTCAAGGCAAATAATAGCCAGGATCCTTCCTAAATCATTTACCTCCTTCTTCACTACCTCCTGAAGATCAGTCATGACAGATCCCTGAGCCAAGTGTATTAGTTCAAATCATTTCTTGAGGCCAACTAGTAGGGACAGTGTCCACTGAGAAAAAGCAAATGAGCACACCTGGGCACCCCCTCGCGCTGCTCTTGACAATTCAGGCTGAACACAATACTGAGTGAAAGTTATCATGCTAGCCCTGCACGGATACCAAGAAGCACGAGATATTGTTCCTGCCTTCAAAGAGCCTCTAATTCAGTGGGGAGATAGGAAATAGTCACATAAAAAAGACAGCTCAATGCTGCAATGTAGTGTGTGCTAGAATCAGTGTGTGATTCTAGCCTCTCCACCTCCAATCTCCTTTCTCTCCTCCAAAGTCAATTAAAAACTAGCAGTTTTTAGAGAGAAAGAGAGGCAGGGAAAGACAAGGAAGGAAGAGGAAATTTAGCCTGTGTACTGAGGCAGACCTGTATGGGAAGGGCCCAGAGAATGCGGGGCTGAGCCTAAGGAGCTGGTATCTCAGCATCTTCTCCTCCTCCTCAGGACCGGTTTTCCCCTTTCCTCCTCTACGCCCTTCTGTGCTGCCACAGGTGCCTGGACAAACCAGCAAGAGCAACACAAGTGGTCCTAAATCACCCGAGGGCCATGAGAGGAAACCATTAAAACCAGCAGTTTTTAATTGACTTTGGAGGAGAGAAAGGAGATTGGAGATGGAGAGGCCCTAGAGGGTTTATGAGGCTTTGAAGGATGGGCTGGGTATGGATAGGCAAAGAAGGGAGTGGAAACAAGCATTCCAGGGCAGGGCGTTTTGGGGACTCAACAGACCAACCAGTTTGTTGGGAGAGGAGTCACTCTGGGAGAGGTGGGCAGTGAGGTTAGAGAAAGACAGAAGAGCCAGCTGGGAAAGGACTTGAACTTGGGTGCTTAGCAGTGCTGAGTCTATCTGGGCAACAGCCCAGATAGAAACACAGAAGGTGTTTCCATAGGTGAATTTCACACTTCAGCCATGTGCCTGGCAAAGTCAGACAATGGGTCTGAGACACAAGGAATGAGGCAGCACAAGGCACAACTTGCAGATCTGTGGCTGGATCTTGGCTGCCAATGGGTTTCACCAGGGTCCATCTCAGAGGAAGGCCTGGATGGTGACAATGTCACTGTCTTACAAGCATTATTTTCAGGGAGGCAGCACGAGGATTCCTGGTGAAGAGCCCCGCCCTTTGAACTTTTGGGAACCCTAGCTTCTGGAAATGAGCAGTGCTAAAAAGTGCACATCATCTGGCACTAATGGCCACTCTCCCTGAGATAGAGATGAAGCATCAGGGATTGGGAGTGATCCTTGTCCCTAGAGCACTTCAGTGGCCAGCCATGTGAGGTCACTGGAGGTAACAAGGAAGGTCTGCAAAAGAAAGCAGGAAGTTCTCTCACCTGGGTCTCCTGGGAGCCATTAACATTTTTCTTCAAGAAGAAAAAGATGTGGACAGCTTCAAAGGAGAGTAAGTGGGATTTTAGGGTCAGTTCATGGACCGAGAGTTGAGATGAATGCCTACTGCTTTGTTTTGGCTTTTTCTTACTCCCTCATTGTTCCTCCTTTTTTCTCCCAGTAGTATAAATTAGAGCAGTGTCATTATTTTTGAAAACATTATGTTTAATGGCAGCACAATATGCCATTATATGGAGTAACTGTAATTTATTTAACCTTTTAGTTGAGTACTTTTTAAGCTTGCTCTCCTGCCCCATCTCAACCTCGAAGAGTCCCTGGCTCTCCCTTGTACAGTGAAGACTGGATGAGAGACATTTCCAGGCTCTTTGAAAATATCATTTGGAATTGCTCTGAAAGGCGGCTGCCAAGCTAGCAAAGCTCCTGCCACAAAACACCCCTGGATTCCACCTGGTGCTTGATAACCAGGACTCCTGTGTGCCCTACCCCAGCACTGCCTGGTTACCAAAATAAAGGATCAGCTCAGGGTAGACATAAATGGAACTGTGGAGCCTCAAGTTTTGACCTTTAACATAAAGTACTTGCCAAGTCTTACTAAACATTCTGGTGAGTTCTCCCAGACCAGTGATAAGAAGGTTTGGCTGAAAAATAAGTCTTAAAAATCTAGGCAGTGTAGAATAGTAGGGAAAGCATGGGCCTCGAGAATCTTGGCTTCTTAGCTGATGCTCGTCACGTTAGGCTTCCTGAGATTCCATTTCTTCATCTGTGAAATGGGGATAGTCATGCTCACCTTGCAAGCTAATCACACAACTATGGATAGCATATACAGGGCATGTAGCATAGCGTGTCATGTAGCAGGTGGTTAATAAATAATAATAATAGTAGCTACTCTTCATAGTTTTTTTTCCAGAAAATAAGTGAGAGTTGCTAGTAATTTGCTACTCATGGTCATTAGAGTATGAGGTCTCCTAACATGAATCTTGACTTGGCTTGGCAAAGCCATATGCCTACTTTTATTTCCTTTTCCTGCCTTTGGAAGGAGCCTGAGAATTCCTTTTTTTGTCCTTTAATCCCATAATGTCTACCAGAACAGCAACTCAATTGATAAGATGGTTTAAATAGGGTCCTGTTAGAATCAGGGAAGAGGTGGGATGACCTTTCTCGGACTCCGTTTGCACAGAAGGCTGGAGTGCTCCCACAGCCTGCTTCTCATAGCATCAGAGCCCTGCTAATTTGGAGAAATTCTTTCTGACCCAGCGGGGAGGTGGCCATGGCAAAGCAGGGCTCCTTCCTGACCCTCCCCCAAAGGGGGTTGAAGAGGGCAGAGCCTAAGGAAGGGGGAGCAGGGGATGGGGTGGCAGGGAAGGCAGCTGCTTGAAATTGATTGTTCTTGTATTTTAGTTTATACCATGCGGCTCTCTCAGCTCTGCCCGGGTGGCGACCTTTAGATAATAAAGGGAATTCTGGGAGATTTCTGACAGGCCCATGACATATGGGGCAGGTCTGCAGGGTCAGGCGGTGTATCTCCCTGCTCCCGGCCCCAGGGTAATGAATCTTGTTTTGACTTTGCAAAGCCAGCTCAGCCAGTGCCCCAGAAAGAAACAGAGCCCCCGCCAGCCCCTCAGATGAGTGCACATCTTGGAACCCTTCATAATTCAGGGATACAACTCCAAACTTTTATAGCCTGTGAGTGGAGAGGACAAACACTACATGTTTTGCTAAGGCCCTGGGAGAGCTGGTGTGGTTTCCAGGGCTCGATCAGAGCCTACTGGGAGACCTGGGAAAAAAAAAACAACAGAAATCTCTCCCTGACGTTAAAAGCAGTCCCAGGACAGGGCTTGTGCCTGGAGGAGGAGCCGGGGTGGGAGTGAGAGAGATCTCTCCTTGGGGTCTGGCAAGTGGCAGATTCACTCTTCTGGGCAGGAGAAGCAAAAAAAGGGTAGGGTCCACTCTGCAGGAACAGCAGAAATCAGCACATCCTAATTCGCATCCCAAAGCTATCATGGGCAGAGCAAGTGAGTTCTCTGGGCTACTGTTTTCTGGGCTAGGTGAAGGCAGCAGGAGTCAGAGATACCCGCCTATCTCTGCAAATTTTCGTGTGCCTGCACACCCAGACCCCTCTCCTTTAAAAGAACAATTCCTGAACCATGAAGTTTGAGTGCCTTTCTCCTCCCTGTTGTATTAGTTTGCCAGGGTTGCTGTAACAAAGTATCACAGACCAGGTGGCTTAAATAACAGAAATTTATTTTCTCCAAGTTCAGAAACTGGGAAGTCCCAGATGAGGATGTGGGCAGAGTTGATTCCTTCTGATGGCTGTGAGGGAAGGAGCTGTTCCAGACCTCTCTTCTGAGCTTGTAGATGGTCAGATGAGGATGTGGATGTCTCTTTACATCACCTGGCCTCTGTGAGTGTCTGTCTCAGGCTCCACATTTCCCCCTTTTTATAAGGACACCAGATCACACCGCATTAGAGCCTACCCTAGTGACCTCATCTTAACCTGATTACCTCTGTAGAGACCCTGTCTCAGGGACGGGTGCCATGGCTCACGCCTGTAATCCCAGCATTTTGGGAGGCCGAGGCTAGAGGATCACTTGAGCCCAGGAGTTCAAGACCAGCCTGGCTAGCATCATGAAACCTCATCTCTACAAAAATAAAAATAAAAATTAGCCAGGTGTAGACAGGTGCCTGTGGCCCCACAGATCCCTGTGGTTCCTAGGGCTGATGTGGGAGGATGGTTTGAGTCCAGGAGATGGAGGCTGCAAGGAGCTGAGATCGCGCCACTGCACTCCAGACTGGGAGACAGAGCGAGACCCCGTCTCAAAAAAACCAAACCAAAACAACAGTAACAAAAGACACCGTCTCAAATAAGAACACATTCTGAGGTACTTAGGGTTAGGCTTCAACACAGGAATTTCCAGGGGACACAATTCAGCCTTTAACTCAATCCCTCGCTTTCTTGCTAGTATCCAGCCCCTGCACTTGTGCCCCATTACCCTGCCTCTGTTCACCACTGCAGAGATGGAGGGTCCCTCACTGTCACGCACATATGTAAGATCTAAGGGCCTTGTCCAAAGCTGAGAGCCGCACGCAGCTCCCCTCTCACAGCCCCTGCTGCCTCACCGCCTGGAGTATGGGTTCTTTCCTTATTACTGATCGAGATTTTGAGAGCCTCCCCAAATTTCCATCTCTTACTCCTTGGTTATTGGAGCGTGGATGTAGTTTATCCCACCTGTGAAACGAATCGCATATATGAAGATAAGCAGGAGATCCACCTTCTCATAGTAAGAGAGGGTGACTGGGTAGAAATTGTCACCCAAATTTGTCTTGACACCTCCTGGAGGGGCCACAGTGTCATCTGTGTCACCTTCTCAGAGAAGGCTGCCAAGGGTACATGCAGGCAGAGACCTATTTTCCTCCCCTCTCTCCTCTCACCTTCCTTCTTCACTCTGGGGCAAGGTATAGCCACTTCGCTTCACATAACCGCACAGAGTCTAGGGAAAAAATGACATTCGATTAATGAAGCAAACGCAGCTGGTACAGAAGTGACATCTAAATTGTTCCTTTGGTCCCGCTATTTTCCATAGGAAATTCTTTCTCTCCTCACCCCCCTCCCCCTTTTCCCTTTAAATCGCGTGCATAAAATATACTAATAACAATCTTCGGTGTCTGTGCATGAGTGACAGCTGAAATAAGAAAAAGACTAATCGTACCTCCTGCAGCCCTGTCACATGGAGATTAAATGAGTCTCTCTCCCCACCCTCTCCCTGCTCCCCACCCCCTCACCCCCACTCTCTCCTCTCTCTTGGTTCTCAATGAGAATCATGGGCATTTGAATAATAATATTATAGACGCCATCAGAGTGACAGTGGGGAAAAAATCAGCTCAAACCCATGATTATTCCTTCACTCTAATAATTATTTAAATACCAGATAACTCCTTTCACTCTAATTGAGGACTTTCAGCCGTCGGCATTACCCGGGGCTTTTGCGTTCGCCCTCTTGCTCACCTTGTGCTACCCAACGTGCCTGGACTACCTCTAAGGTCGGTGTTAGACAGAGCGATGCTCAGAATGCTTGCACGTACAGCTGCACAAGGGATATGAAGACAGGTCCTTCAGTAGCATTCCACCCACGGGGAAAAGATGGGGCCTCAGACTCTCACATTTAGACAATTTTATTCTCACAGAAATCTTAAACCAAAAGGAGCCTTCTGAGATCATTGGGACCAATCCCCTGCCTCTAGGTAAACTGATTCCTAGGCAGCTTCCAGGAAAATTCAATATCAGAAAATTTCAGAATCTCCTTGGCAGGATGCTCTGCAGATCCTCTCTAGGCAGAATGTCCCCCTTAATATCTAACTTTAATCCCTTCTGCTGTAGCTCTAACTCTTTGGGAAGAAGGAGCTTTCTGTGCATAGACTAAATCTGACCTGTCCGTGGGGTTGTGGCAGAGGACACCATAGCCCCCAAGTTACAGCATAGGTGACGGTCCTGAGTGTGACATTTGCCTGGGCCTGCCTGGGCCTAGAAGAGGACAGAAGCAATCATTCTCCCCAAGGGGGAAAGGAGCCATTCGGACATGTGTCTTTCTTTCATTCTGCCCCTTAATCCGCCCCTCTTTGAATCTGCCCTGAGCACCACCTCGTTGTCCAGGCCCAATGCCACACTCACTTCTGCGTATCATGGGGCTATTATCAAAGGCATCCACTTTCCCGAAAACAGGACAGCCTGAAGGCAAAACGTAACTAACTCCCAGGACCCTTCCACCTACAATGGAGGAAGCGCCTGCCTTTTTGTCATGAGGTCTGGGTTCTGACTGCAGCCTGTTTCTGACTCACTTTGAGTCGCCCTGGTCAATTTGTTTCCTTTCTGTGGGCTGTGGTGTCTTTCATATTAAAAAAAAAAAAAAACAGTGGGTTGGAATAATCTTATAATCTCCCTCAGCATTCTCCTGCTTTAAAGGCACTACTCATTAGAAGGAAGAGCTGAAGGAGAAGACGGACTCCTCTCCATCATGGGAAAGGAAGGAGGCTAAGTGACTTCCAGGAACAGCTGCTAACTTCCCTGATTTCACAGCCCTCATTTTCATGCTCATCTTTTCCCTACCACCGTCTGGCTCCTCAGAGTGTGTGAGCTCCCTAGTAGGTGCAGTAGTAATAGTAGGCACCCTTTGCTGTTATTGTTATGAAAACTGTCAGCTCCAGGATGGTGCTGGAGGTGACGATGATGTTGATGACAGGGTTGTTAGGAATGGAGTTAGTGGCAAGTGGAGCTACAGATGGGCCCACGGGTATGAGAGCTACTAACAGGAACTTTGACTCAATTTGGCAAAATCGTATTTCAAATCTAAATTCTCTTTCCACCAGCTCCTTTTGCTATAAGGGAAAGCCAAGTGGAAACGTAGAGGCATGTGCACCCAGATCTCCTGAAAAGGGCAATAGGAGAGGGTAGCAGGGAGGAGACAATCCTCTACTGAGCTGAACTGGAAACGCCTGATTGTCATTTCTTCCCTGCTTTGCCACTGACGCCCGCAGCAGCTGATCAGGAAGGTATCAGATGCCTTCACTAGCTGTCACTAACACCTGCCTCCTGAATCCTGATCGGGGAGATGGTGTCATCGGGCCCTCCACATAAAATATTTAGTGGCACTTGCTTCCCAAAGAGGCAAGCGTGGCCTCTCCTTGGCATCAGGAACGCTCCGAGTTACATGTGCTGGGAGACTCTCTTGTTCAGGCGAGAGTCCTGGAGCAGCATACCTGGTTTGAGACTTGGAGTAGGAGAGAGGGAAACTGGTAGAACAGAGACTAGGCAAGTTTTGGCTCTTGAGAATGCATGTGACAAGTGACTTCATGCACTAAACAGAGAGGGATGTGACAGAAAGAAGAAAGCATCATTATTAAGAGAAAACTCCTGAGGTTGACACTAGCAGAAAATTGGGGATAGGAGGAAGTCACACTGGGTATGCAAAGTCAAATGCATGTTTGTTTACCAGTGTCTACCAAACTGAGGATGGGAAATTCATTCTAAGACAGATGATGGGATGGATGGAGGTGAGGAGCTGGAAATAATGACAAATAAATTGCTAATAACAAAGGCTAATGTATCTTAAACACTTAAGATGGCCATGAACTGTTCTAAGTGCTTTTATATGTATTAACTGATTTCATTGTAATAATCCTATGACGTAGCTACTAGTACTAAACCTATTTTATATAGATAGTTAGATAACATCATAGAATGGCTAAGTACCTTGACCAAGTGTACACAGCTATAGGCTCCATTTGCGTCCAGGCACCTAAGTTCAGAGCTCATGCATTTAATTGTTATATCGCACTGCCTCTCACCAGAGGCACAAAGGTGGGCTCCATCCTCCCTTACTCAGAATGTGGATAGGAGTCCTGATCTTTGCCCACTGGGCTCTGCTTGGAACAGCCACTTAGTCACATCAATTTGGCATAGAAAGATGAAGGCTCTCAACGTGCCCTTGAAGTCAGCTGTCTTCATGAAGGCCACACTCCCAAGGTGGGGTGCAAACCTCCCCTCACTGCAGGAGACTGTGCCTCCTCTTGACTCCAGTGTCCAATGACAGCTGCTCCCAGGCGGGCAGTCCCTGAGTCCTGTGAGATGAATTCACTTGGCTGGTTATCAGGAGTGGCCTGTCCCAAAGCAAATGCTGCATGAGGGTGAGAGGAAAACAGCCCAGCTGGAGTGGTCTGTTTAGAACTACTGGCCTGAAAAAAAAAAAAAAAAAAAAAAAAAACAGAAAAAGAAAAAAGCTCCTGACCTAATCAGCCTCTCCAGGTTGGAGCAAAAAACCTCAGCTGCTATTGGAATCACAGACTCCAGGAACTGAAGGAACTAAGCTTCGAGGTAGCATTTTATCTGAAAAAGGAAATCTTATAGGTTGACTAATTCAAATACCTTTTGTTTTAAGATCAAGAAATAGGCTCATGGAAATGCCAGACTGGTCTAAAGTGAGTGACACTATAATTCATGAGTCACACAGGCAGAATGTGAACCCAGGGTTCCTGAGTCTCCCACCTTTCTTCCTGCCCTGTGACCTCATGCCTTCTAGACATCAGGACGTTTCTCATTCTCAGTCTAACTCTCAGGATCCTGTGTTTCCACCAGCCTTCCTGCAGTCTGCGGAGAGGCTATATTGGGACTTGTGCAGTAGTATGACAAAGAAGATCACCTTGGATCTATTTCTTTCCCCTTGCCACATGCTTCCCAGACTGAGCTCTGTCACTGGGTCGGGGAGGCCTAGGGATCAAAGGCACACCCACAGTGTTCATCTCATTGTGGGTGGGAAAGGAAGAATATAAGCAAAAAGAGAAGTCAAGAGCTGTGGCAGGATTTCAGAAGTGCCATCTCCTGTGGAGTCTTCAAAGACAATAACAGGCCAGGTGCAGTGGCTCACGCCTGTAATCCCAGCACTTTGGGAGGCCAAGGCAGGTGGATCACGAGGTCAGGAGATTGAGAGCAGTGTGACCAACATGGTGAAACCCTGTCTTTACTAAAAATACAAAAAAAAAAAAAAAATTAGGCGGGTGTGGTGGCACGTGCCTGTAGTCCCATCTACTGTGGAGGCTGAGGCAGCAGAATCGCTTGAACCAGGGAGGCGGAGGTCTCAATGAGCTGAGATCATACCACTGCACTCCAGCCTGGGCGACAGAGCAAGACTCTGTCTCAATAATAATAATAATAACAAAAACTAACATAAGTTAAGTGCTCACTGTGTGCCTGCAACCATGCTAAGAGGTTGGTCTCTATATTGTCTCATTTACTGTCATGACAACTTGAAAGGTACATACTGTAGTTATTCCCATTCTACCAGAAAGGGACATGAGACTTGACTTGCCTCAAATCCCAAATTTGTTCCCAGATTCTGTCTAACAACAACAAAAGCCACTCACTATTCAAACTGTGTCTTGGGAGGATACCAAGCAGGGAGGTGAGGTGGCTGATCTTAACCGCATACTAAGTCCTTCCATGTTATCTCTGCTACCAGAACCCCCTTCCTCCCCTCGCGGCTCCTCAAGGAGGAACCACTCTCCACCTGGAACCCAAGGAGATTTTCTTCCCAGCGACAGGGGCAGAGAATGGCCTCTTGCAATTCCCCATCCAGCTGGAGAATTTAAGGATTCTGTTATTTCCTTTCCACAGCTCCTCTTCAGGAATTCACGTCCTGCTACCGGCCTCAGGACATAGCTAAAAATAACCTCTGGTTTCCAAACTGAAAGCCCTGTCTGTTGGGAGGCTTTGCCGGTGTGCGCCTGGGGCCGGAAGGGCTGTGTCGGAGTAGCTGAGGTCAGCCTGAGTCTCATGCCGGTGTTGCCTTCCTCTTTCCAAGGAAGCCCAGGGCCTCATGAGTCACCCCGAACACCCTGGGGGAGTCGGGTTGGAGGAGGGAGTTAGGTGGGACCTACTGTGGCACCACGGTGGCTGCCAGGCCGAGGATGCAGAACTGAACAAGAGGAAGGGTCGTTCCTAAAGAAACTCTAGGGGATTCTCTAAGTGGTGTCTGTTCTAATTATAACCCAATCCAGCCAGAATGGGGAGTTGAGGGAGAAAGGCCTCTCCTAAGCTGCCTTGGAGCAAACTCTCCATCCTTCGGGTGTTTCCATCCCTGCCACCTTATGTGCCCAGAGTTCTGTCTGGACTTGCCTGAGAAGGTTGCTGGATGATCTTCCAGCTGAGAAAAGCTTTCTCTGCCGGACAGCTCGCTGCCTTCTCCTGGTGCCGCAGTCACTTCCCACTGTCCCTCTCCATAAGTCAGGACAGTACCATGATAGTGATGGAACAGGCCCTGCTCTCTGACCTCCAGGTCCTGCTCTCTGACCTCCAGGCTCTGCTCTCTGACTTCCTGCCCCTGGCCCAGACTGCCCCTGGCTACAGGCTGTCCTCAGGAGCCCCACCTTGCCCCTCTGGGCAGCTTCCTTGGAACAGGGAAGAATAAGCACCAAGGCTCTGGAAGTGGAGGAGCCTTAAAGCCTGGGAGTCAGGAGGCAGGGGGAAGAGTAAAGGAGTCAGGGCTAGAGACTGGGCTTCGAGCATGGCCCACTGAGGCCCGCTGGTGATTTCATGGATGCTGAAACAGTCAGGAGGCCCCAGCAGTGCCTGAAATGAGACTGAATCTCACCTCACCACCCTTTGCTGCTCCCCACATTCTCCCAAATCTGGTACCCCTGCCCCAGGTGGCTGAAGCTGGACTCAGCCAGCCAGTAACCCCTAGCAAGGAGACTGGTTCTCTGTGTGTCCTGGCTTCCCATGTGCTCTGCCTGCAGAGAGGCAGAGGTTGAAGCAATTTCCCGAGGACCTGGCTACCTGGCAGCAGCTGGGCGTCCACCTTGAGAAGGATGGGGGAATCTCAAGAGATCTGCCTGTCTCCCGAGGGCTTTTCCGGCTCCGGAATGGCACATGTGGGAATCCCAGTCTTGTTGGCTACAACATTTTTCCCTTTCCTAACAAGTTCTAACAGCTGTTCTAACAGCTAGTGATCAGGGGTTCTTCTTGCTGGAGAAGAAAGGGCTGAGGGCAGAGCAGGGCACTCTCACTCAGGGTGACCAGCTCCTTGCCTCTCTGTGGATAACAGAGCATGAGAAAGTGAAGAGATGCAGCGGAGTGAGGTGATGGAAGTCTAAAATAGGAAGGAATTTTGTGTGCAATATCAGACTCTGGGAGCAGTTGACCTGGAGAGCCTGGGGGAGGGCCTGCCTAACAAGCTTTCAAAAAACAGGAGCGACTTCCACTGGGCTGGGATAAGACGTGCCGGTAGGATAGGGAAGACTGGGTTTAGTCCTAATATCAAATTGACTGGCTGGGTGAACTTCAACAGCCTTTTAACCTCTCTGGGAGATGAAAACGATGGCTTAAGGGGCCAGAAATAGAGATGCTTTGTAAAATAAAATTTTAAAAAAAGCAAGTATTTTATAGCATAAAGGCTAGAGACCAAAATAGATAACAGGATTCCCTGAACATTCCTAAGAGGGAGAAAGTATGTTAAAAATAGAAAAACCAAAATGCAGAAGGAGGAGACTCACAGAGCTAAACCAGGATGGGGACCCTGGGTCAGGCCAGCCTCTTTGCTCCTCCCGGAAATTATTTTTGGTCTGACCACTCTGCCTTGTGTTTTGCAGAATCATGTGAGGGCCAACCGGGGAAGGTGGAGCAGATGAGCACACACAGGAGCCGTCTCCTCACCGCCGCCCCTCTCAGCATGGAACAGAGGCGGCCCTGGCCCCGGGCCCTGGAGGTGGACAGCCGCTCTGTGGTCCTGCTCTCAGTGGTCTGGGTGCTGCTGGCCCCCCCAGCAGCCGGCATGCCTCAGTTCAGCACCTTCCACTCTGAGAATCGTGACTGGACCTTCAACCACTTGACCGTCCACCAAGGGACGGGGGCCGTCTATGTGGGGGCCATCAACCGGGTCTATAAGCTGACAGGCAACCTGACCATCCAGGTGGCTCATAAGACAGGGCCAGAAGAGGACAACAAGTCTTGTTACCCGCCCCTCATCGTGCAGCCCTGCAGCGAAGTGCTCACCCTCACCAACAATGTCAACAAGCTGCTCATCATTGACTACTCTGAGAACCGCCTGCTGGCCTGTGGGAGCCTCTACCAGGGGGTCTGCAAGCTGCTGCGGCTGGATGACCTCTTCATCCTGGTGGAGCCATCCCACAAGAAGGAGCACTACCTGTCCAGTGTCAACAAGACGGGCACCATGTACGGGGTGATTGTGCGCTCTGAGGGTGAGGATGGCAAGCTCTTCATCGGCACGGCTGTGGATGGGAAGCAGGATTACTTCCCGACCCTGTCCAGCCGGAAGCTGCCCCGAGACCCTGAGTCCTCAGCCATGCTCGACTATGAGCTACACAGCGATTTTGTCTCCTCTCTCATCAAGATCCCTTCAGACACCCTGGCCCTGGTCTCCCACTTTGACATCTTCTACATCTACGGCTTTGCTAGTGGGGGCTTTGTCTACTTTCTCACTGTCCAGCCCGAGACCCCTGAGGGTGTGGCCATCAACTCCGCTGGAGACCTCTTCTACACCTCACGCATCGTGCGGCTCTGCAAGGATGACCCCAAGTTCCACTCATACGTGTCCCTGCCCTTCGGCTGCACCCGGGCCGGGGTGGAATACCGCCTCCTGCAGGCTGCTTACCTGGCCAAGCCTGGGGACTCACTGGCCCAGGCCTTCAATATCACCAGCCAGGACGATGTACTCTTTGCCATCTTCTCCAAAGGGCAGAAGCAGTATCACCACCCGCCCGATGACTCTGCCCTGTGTGCCTTCCCTATCCGGGCCATCAACTTGCAGATCAAGGAGCGCCTGCAGTCCTGCTACCAGGGCGAGGGCAACCTGGAGCTCAACTGGCTGCTGGGGAAGGACGTCCAGTGCACCAAGGCGGTAAGGAGGCACACACCTCGCTCTGCTCCTGCTCCATGACACAGGTTCCAACCTTCCTGTCCATGCCCTGGGGCACATCTGCTCCCACACCACCATGGACCTGAAATGAAAGAGGTTTTCAGACTCAGGTTATCAGGTGGTAACCAATAACGCAGGGTCTTACGTACACCAGATACTTGAGATATGTGTGTTGATTTGTTGTCATTTCAAATATATGTATTGAGTGCCTACATCACATCAGGTGCTATTGTAAATGCTGCAGGCTTCAGCTGTGAACCATACAACCCTACAAAGCTCACTGCCCTCATGGAGATTACACGCTAGTTGGGTGAGACAAATGAACACATAATACATGTTAGTTTGCCAAATGGTGATAATGGCTATAGAGAAAAATAAACAGGAAAGGGGGAGAGGCAGTAGCTGAGAGGACTGACTCATTGAGAAAGTGGTGTCTAAGCAAAAACTGAGGATGGGAAGAAAGGGAGCCACACAAGTGTCCAGAGAAAGCATTCCAGAGAGAGAAAGGGTGAGGAGAATGTGCAAAGAATTCAGGGCATGCCTGGAGTGTCTGAGGAACAGTAAGGAGGCAACTGCAGCCAGATCAGAGTATGTGAGAGAAAGAGCAGCAGGTGATGGGGTCCATCAGAAGTAATGGGGACCAGGTCATGTACACACAGAGCTGTAGGCCACTGTGGTTCCCAGTGAGGGGGTCAAGTGGAGATCAGAAATCTAAGTCAGAGGAGAGGGAAGGGAGTCTGGCTTGACCAACTGATGGAAAACTGGAGAAGAATCAGGAGTGTGGGCAAAGGCAAAAGAGGAGAGGATGAAAAGCTCAGAATCCAGACCTGAGGAAAGCAGAGACAAGAAAATCAGTGGCAAGCACTGCCCTGTCAGCGGCTCATGGTGCTGCCATCAAAGTATTCATGATCCACTCTTCTTCCATCATTCATCCAACCATCCAATCATCCATTCATTTATCCACCCATCTCTCCTTTCATCCATCCCCTTTCCTTCCCTCCTTTTATTCTCCTATCCATCTATCCCTCCATCCTCCTTAGCTCTCTCCCTCCATGCATCTCTCCATCCATCCATCCATCCATCATCCATCCATCCATCTATTCACCTATTTACCTAAACCTCCATTCATCTGTCCCTGATCCTTCCCTTCATTCTTTCCTCCATCCCTTCCTCCATCCCTTCATCCATCTCTTTATCCACTCATCCCTCTTTTTTCTCCCTTAATCTATGTCTCCATATCTTTATCTATCCATCATCCATTTGTCTACCTAGCCCTCCATCTATCCATTCATCCCTCTCTTTATTCATCCACCATCATCCATCTACCCATCCCTCTATTCATTTACAAGTAGTATTGAAGATCTTCTGAATGCCTGGCACTGTACTAGGCACTGGGGTTGCAAACATAAAAAGACATGATCGGCTGGGTGCGGTGGCTCACACCTGTACTCCCAGCACTTTGGCAGGCTAAGGTAGGCAGATTGCTTGAGCTCAGGAGTTCGAGACCAGCCTGGGCAACATGACAAAACTCCGTCTCTACAAAAATTCCAAAAATTAGCTGGGTGTGGTGATGCACACCTGTAGTACCAGCTACTCTGGAGGCCTGAGCATGGGAGGTGGAGGTTGCAGTGAGCCAAGATTGTGCTACTATACTCCAGCCTGGGTGACAGAGTGAGACCCTGTCTCAGAAAAAAAAAAGACATGATCACTAGTCTCACAGATCTTATAATCTAGTAGGGGGAAGAGAGAGAGAGAGAGGAAGAGAGAGAGAGCTAGAGACAGCTGGCAACATAATGTAGTGGCTCAGAGTTTGAGGTTCTGAGACAAAAGCCAGGCTTCAAATTCCATCTGTGTTTCTTCCTGCCTTCTTCAGAAGCACCTTAGCATCTCTACATTCTTATCTGTGAGATGGAAATAATAATGCCTAGCTCATGGGATGATCAGATGAGATAATACATGGAGAGATTAGCACCATGCCTGGAAATGTTAGGTTTATTATTACACAGGGAGTTAACAGGGAGTGTGAGAAGTGCAAAAGTAGGTTTCTTGTACACAGTGCTGAGGGCTCTGGAT
This sequence comes from Homo sapiens, assembly GCF_000001405.40. Lineage (NCBI taxonomy): Eukaryota > Metazoa > Chordata > Mammalia > Primates > Hominidae > Homo > Homo sapiens. The sequence continues at coordinate 208,214,643 of NC_000001.11, read as the reverse complement.
CTGCAACCTAGAAAAAAATATATGAGACCAAGGGGCCCATACGGCTACCTTCTGAGTACTCTAAATTGAAGGTGCCTGCCGTTGGGACCAAGCACCAGTACTTGAAGCAAGAAAACATCATTCCAAGGCTACGCTTCTATTCCTGTCATCATTTGCTTGGTGTGGTAGAAGAGTCGTGGTTAAGGCTTTGAAGTAAACCAGATGGGGATTAAAAATCAGTCCTACCACTTACTCCTTGTGTGACTTTGGGCAAGTTATGTACCTGGTCTGAGCTGTAAATTTTTCGTCTTTAAAATAGAGATAATATTGTCTTCTTTTCATGGTTATTATGAGGATCAAATGGAAAATTTATGTAAAGTGCTTAGCACAATACCTGGAACATAATAAGCATTCAATAAATGGGCCGCTATGATTATTAATATTAATCACAGTAGTAAAGAGCCAGCTATTTTCTTAGTTATCTTACTGTTGTAAAATGAGGAAGCTAGACTAGATAGTCTTTGGTTTTTTTTTTTTTAACGCCAAAATTTTATGGCCACTGGCCGTAACCAATGTGGAGAGGTGGAGAGGAAATGTAACCCTCCGTAAGGGTTAAATGCTTGCAGAGTCCAGCCTAGTTCCCATAACCCAGAGGGGGCCTTGTCAGGAGGAAACTGCTGATTCCTGCCTGCTTCTGAGCCAGAGGAAAGAGGAAGATGACACTCTTCTCTGCTCCAGAGCAGAGGGACAAGCCTGGGCTAGTTACAAAAGGATAGCAAAGGCACTGGGAGAGAGGTGACAGTGAGTGGGGCCAGGACCTTAGAGTGGAGAGCCCCTTGCCTCCACCCCTTCAGCACCACACCCTTCTGGTGCAAGGGCTGCAAGAGGAATGGCCCCTTAAAGACCCTGATACTCCAAAGAACTAAGACCCAGGGACCCAGAAATATTTTGGTGGCCTTAGAGGGGAATAAGGATAAATGAAAGAAGCTGTGGTCCCAGAGCTTGATTTTAACATGACTCTGGAATAACATGGAAATCTCAGATCAAAAATTTGAGCTCTGATCCCAGAAAAGAGAGGAAGAAGGGGGCTATCACTCATTGAATAGCAGCTAGTCCTAAAGGCTAAGCTTGGCAATTTAAGTGTTATCTCACTTGCTCCTCACAATGACCCCATAAAGCAAGAGTTATCTTCCCCATTTTACAGATTAAAAAACAAAGGCTCACAAAGACTAAGTAAGTTGCTCAGATCTCCACAGCTATAAGTGATAAAGCGGGGATTTGAATTTAGTTCGGCTGTATTACTTCTTAGTCCAGTCTCTCTCTATTGAGCCCTTCTGTTTCCAAGGAAAGCCATACACCAAGCTCTCACCATTTGAGCAAAAGTAAAGGTGCATCAGGTGTTTGGGAATATCTAACAATATATTGAAAAACAACTTGAGGAGGAAAGAAATTCCAGCCAATCCTAAGGGCTTAGGCTGAGAATAAATCTTTTTTTTTTTTAATAGTTCTGGAGATACTAGAATCAATAAGACAGTAGCAAAATCTAGGATTACCAGGTTTTTGCTTCTGTCATCATTTCTCAAAAGCTGACTTGGGCTACGCCTGTGCCCAGACTCTGTGGCCTTACCAGCCCTGCAGAAAGTGGGAAAGAAATGGAAGCCATGAAATTAAGGACTTTTAGAGCTCAAAGGAAGCTTGACAATTACCTGTTCCAATACTTTTACTTTACAGATGAGAAAACTGAGGCTGAGACATGGTACATGACATATCAAGGTCACACAGCTGGTTTCAGTAGAGAAAGGCCTAAAATCTGGATCACTTTCATCTTAGCCAGGGCAGTAGCTGCGTGTAGTGTAGGGATGAGATGAGGAAGAGAAGCACACAATGTAAAAAGTGTAGCTGATAACTCTGACCTGCCTTTCTAGGGAGCTAGAATTCCCGTGGTTGGCTCCAGTGGTGTGCTGGTAAATATTAAATAACTGGCTCTATGCAGGCAGGGGAGGGAGAGGAGTGCTCTGGTTTGTAGCCTCTGCCAATTGCCATGGTATAAATACACCTATCCTGGCTGATTTCAAGCATCATGGGATGTCACTGAATGCACAGTTATTCCCTAACAGCTGGCTTCAGCACACCACAGCTTCACTCCCTTCCTGAGAAACTCATTCCTTCTGCTCTGTGGGGCTCAATATTATCCCGGGTTCAAAAGTCATCTTAACCTAAAAATTTGTTTTATTTCCTGAAGAATATACACACACAAGTGCAGCACCATCATTCCTACCAGTAACAGGAGCAGCAGCTCTCTACAAAACACTGTGGAACCACAAAAAATGAGTCTCTGCTCCTTTTGGGACTGAGAAGAGAAAGGAACGGAAGTCCCTGGTTTAAAAAAAAAAATCATATGCCATAACTTATAAACCAATTATTCCAAAGAAATGAGGCTGTCAACGAGTGATGGTGTGTCAGCCTGCTCTTCCCTGGTGAGGGTGAGAGGAGGCTGAAGGGAGCATGGGGGCAGGCTGTTCTGCTGCTTTCTATGATTTCTACGATAGCCATTTCCTTCCTCCTCTGGGATGCCTTCACAGACCCAGAAGGAACAGCTGCCACAGGATGCGGGGCTCTTTCTGGCCCAGAGCCTGCAGCCTTTGCCACAGGATTCCACATTGTGCCATTAACTGGGCCATGTCAGAGCACTCATTCTGACCCAGCCCCGTGCTGAGCACTGTGTACAGAATGCAAACCCCTCAGCAGCCCCTGCCTCAGGAAGCATTATGGTCTTTGTCTTTCATTCTTTTTTAGATGAGAGACCTAAGATCTTTCTTGAGACCTTAGAAATCATCAATTTAACATTCCCTTTAAGAGCCCTACAAGAGGACCCTGCTTGTCCAAGTTTTCACAACCAGTTAGTAGCAGAACAGGGGATAGGATCAAGATCTTCCTACTTTCTTTCCAGCAATTTTTTTTTTTTTTTTTTTGAGACGGAGTCTCGTTCTGCCGCCCAGGCTGGAGTGCAGTGGCGCAATCTCGGCTCACTGCAACCTCCGCCTCCTGGGTTCAGGCGATTCTCCCACCTCAGCCTCCCAAGTAGCTGGGACTACAGGCACACACCACCACGCCTGGCTAATTTTTTGTATTTTTAGTAGAGACAGGGTTTCACTATGTTGGCCAGAATGGTCTCGATCTCCTGACTTCGTGAACTGCCCGCCTTGGCCTCCCAAAGTGCTGGGATTACAGGCGTGAGCCACCGTGCCCGGCCACAATTTTTTTTTCACTTGCTCAAGGTGATCTTCTTTCAAACATGCTCCAGTCGCTGCTGACAGATACATTATGGAGCCACACCACCACTCTCCTTAAAGGCTGGAAATATGAAGGACACCACCTCCAGAATTCTCTCTTAATTATATTTACCCAAACATTGTTGAAGATCTATAATGCACAATAGTGGAAAGAGTTGGACAACTTAACACAAATCTTTTGCATGCATTATTTCATTTGTTCCTTCACAATTCTATCAGAAAGGTGGGCAGGTATTATTCCAAAGGAAGAAACTGAGGCATAGGTAGATTAACTTTTCCAAAGTATAAGGTACTGTTCGATATCATTATGACACTTCTGATCTCTTTCCAGTATGGAAAGATAGTAGGGAGCTAGAATTCCCATGGTTGGCTCCAGTGACGTGCTGGTAAATATTAAACAACTGGATAGTTGAATGGCCTAAAATTTCTTGCACCCAAAGGGAGACCCTACAGCCCAAGAAACAAACAAGAAACCCTTTCTGGGCTGGTAGAAATCCTGTAATGTTGCCTTTAGACTGATTATCCACTGAAGGAACTCTTGTCTGAAATAGAAAGATCCCACAGAATGCCATGGTCCTGAGGAACATTAAAATAAATAGAAAATGAGTTCAGGCACTTAGCTTTACAAATTGATCCTGGTTCTCCTGGCAGAAAGGTAGATACAGGTGACGCCAGCTGAGTGGAAGGTTGCTGCCTGTTCTTTCATCTGGCTTCATAAGAACCAACATGGAATTTGTGGGTGAGCTGGTGAGAAGTTTTTGTCTGCAGCTTGTATTAGGGCCCCTGAACTCCCATGTCTGCCTCTCTGAGGCCTGGTGTCCTAAGGCTGGAAGTTGTGGATATGGGTCGTGTAGAGACTTCACCATGCCTCCACTGTTACTCACCCCAATTCCTTCCGCTTCCCTCCAGCCTGTCCCCATCGATGATAACTTCTGTGGACTGGACATCAACCAGCCCCTGGGAGGCTCAACTCCAGTGGAGGGCCTGACCCTGTACACCACCAGCAGGGACCGCATGACCTCTGTGGCCTCCTACGTTTACAACGGCTACAGCGTGGTTTTTGTGGGGACTAAGAGTGGCAAGCTGAAAAAGGTAAGAGTCTATGAGTTCAGATGCTCCAATGCCATTCACCTCCTCAGCAAAGAGTCCCTCTTGGAAGGTAGCTATTGGTGGAGATTTAACTATAGGCAACTTTATTTTCTTGGGGAACAAAGGTGAAATGGGGAGGTAAGAAGGGGTTAATTTTGTGACTTAGCTTCTAGCTACTTCCTCCAGCCATCAGTCATTGGGTATGTAAGGAATGCAAGCGTATTTCAATATTTCCCAAACTTTAAGAAAAAACTTTAAGAAGGTACATCTGCAAAAGCAAAAAAAAAAAAAAAAAAAAATTGCTCTTCATTCCCAAATCAAGCAAAACTAAGTTTTTGATTATGTGCATTATAAATCTCCAAAATCGCAAATCCCTCCCTAGAACCTGTAAACTTGATTATACTGGTCTTTGTTGAATTCAGAGAAGTTGGTTGAAGCAGATTACTGGTCCCAATTCTAAGACCTGGGGTAAACGGTGGGTGCTGCTCTCTGATGGTATATGATGCCTGAAGAAAACACCATTCTCCAGTCTTTCCTCTTCCTGCAATCACAGACTCTTCCCTTCCCAGCTCCCCACCCAGATGTAAGCTGCCAGGTGGAAGTAGACATTTTACCTTGCGCCTCCCAGGGTACTTCTGCCAGCTGGAGGGCACAGGCTGTCTGGGGATGGCAGCATGGGAGGCCTCTTGTGCAGCAGGCTGAAGCCAACAGCTTGTACCAGCTTGTCTAGTGCCTAGGGTGCAGAGAGGGCGCACAATCTGGTTCATTATGTGGGATTAGAGCAGCCACATTCTTTCCGGTCTCAGCTAATCCCTTTTCCCAAGCTTACCCTCCTGCCACCTTTCCCTGGTCCCAGCACCTGTGGATCAAGGAACATGCAAGACCTCACTGCATCTCACCCTTTGATGTTGACATCACCCTGGAGCTCTTTCCTCCTAATCCATTTAGAGCCTTGGGAGGGATGTTGTTTGGAAATGTGGAAGGAGGGTAACCTGGAGTGAGCCCAAGGAAGAATTTCTATGTTCTGCTTGTTCTGAATTACTGCCAGGGGAGGTGAGAAGAACTGGTCTGGGTTCACCTAGCAGTGCTAAACCCTCCAGGCTTCTTCTGGTTCTCATGATACCAAAGATATTTAACCATTTCCTCACTTGCTGTAGAGGTTCCTACATGTTCCTCTTCTGTGCCCTCCACTCTGCCTGGGACTAGGGACCCTAGCTTGGCTTTTCGGCACATGGAAGAGAGAAAGAATGTGGTCCTTGCATTTGCTTTTCCAAAATGGGAAGGGAAGGAGTTGCTGTGTGAAATTCTGCTAAGATTTAAAAGTGGCTTCTACCAAGAAGCAATTCAGCTTGGAACCCTGAGGCCGGCTACTTCCCTGCTCAGCCAGGGTCACCATATCCAGTTGAGCAAATTGTGCCTGGCCTAGGAGGATTGTGTTAACGGGCCTAGTGGGAGTTGAAATCCAGCCTGAGCTCTCCCTGTCACATCATGTACCCTGTGGTATAAACATCTGCTCATGGGACTTCTCTTACTAAGTCATCTACCCATAGGGACCACCTTTTCCTAAATGGCACACAGGCTCTCTAAGGGCCAGCAGAAACCACACAGGCTAGCGTGAGCACCTTTCCCCTACCTTCAGTCACTGCTCCAGGTCATGTGTGTCATTCTGTCTCCTTGATTCTCTTGAAAGTTCTGTGAAAGGCAGGGGTCATGCTTTTTGGACTGTTCCCTTCTTCCCCTTTAATCCTGTCACCGAGTGTTCACTCATGGGATAGGCTTCAAAACTGCTTTGAAAAATAGAACCATTCTTTAAGGAACCTTAGAGATTGCCTGGCCCAATACTCTCATTATTTGACAGGGAAACTGAGGTCCAGAGAAGAAAATTGACTTGCCCAAGCATAGAGATCTAGGACAAGTTGCTTCTTGCCTTGACACCCAATTTGGCACCATTTTTACTTAAAGAAGTAGCTCTAGAGCCCAGGGAGGGAGACTGAGAATGATCTTCAGGTCCAGGCTTGCTACAGAGGTCAGCTAGGGGCCAGTGCTTTCACTCTCTTCAGATCTAGATGTGAATTAAGGAATCAGTGTTTGCTGAATGGATGGATGGATGAGAAGTGAATAAAGGAAAAGGGACCCAACCAGATACAAAGGGACCTTGAGTTGACTTTCCCCATATCTCCATGCATCGTGCACAGCACACACTAGGGGCTGCTTGGCATCTATCCAAGTCACACACCTGAGTTGGCCAAGTTCTCCTGGCCTTATTGAAACCCTGACGGACAAGTTACTGTGGAGACCAGTCAGCAGGTTCAAGGGCAAAGCTGGGGGCGTGGTTACCCACAGCTTGTTCTGACCTGTGATTTGGCTGCTTCTTCTCACTCTTTGCTTGGCCTTTCTTTGGCGGTTTCTATGAGCTCATGACACCCCTCCTTCCTCCTCTGTGCAGCTCACCCTTCCTTCCCACCCACGCTGCTTTGAGGTACTTGACATTCATACCCAGGCCCCTGCTGGCCTCCCATCTACCAGCTTACTTGCTCCCACCCCTCTCCAGAGAAATAACCCATGAAGAATTTATGGAATGTCCCCAGGAAACCCTACTATGGTCCAGGCCCCATAGCTCTTTCAACACAGGAAGGAAAATAAAGAAAAAAAATAGCTAAGAGTTTGGAAAGGGAAGGGAAGCCGGGTGCGTCAGAACTACTCACTTCTCCCGGCGTCTGTCAGGCTGTCCAGCCCTCATCTACTGTGGTCTGTAGGAACAGGATGTCCCTGTGTATGTAAGTTTAGAGGAAGCAGAGACTTGCTAGAAGTGATAGGACCACAGGGCGCTCTTATGTGCTGTGTCCACATAGCTGCTTATACACTGCTTTCTGCAAGATGCATAGAGAGCACCCTAGACAAGACCACTGCCTTCTGAGCTGCAAACATGTGGAAGGAACAGACAGAATAAGGTTAAGTCCCCAAAACCTGTATGTGAGGCCGGGCACGGTGGCTCATGCCTATAATCCCAGCACTTTGGGAGGCCGAGGCAGGTGGATCACCTGAGGTCAGGAGTTCAAGACCAGCCCGGCCAACATGGTGAAACCCCGTCTCTACTAAAAATACAAAAATTAGCTAGGCGTGGTGGCACATGCCTGTAGTCCCAGCCACTTGGGAGGCTGAGGTGGGAGAATCGCTTGAACCCAGGAGGTGGAGGTTGCAGTGAGCCAAGATCATGCTACTGCACTCCAGCCTGAGCAACAGAGTGAGACTCCATCTCAAAAGCAAAACAAAACAAAGCAAAACAAAAACAAGAGTTTGAGACCAGCCTGACCAACATGGTGAAACCCTGTCGGTACTAAAAATACAAAAATCAGCAGGGCATGGTGGCATGCACCTGTAATCCCAGCTACTCAGGAGGCTGAGGCAGGAGAATTGCTTGAACCTGGGAGGTGGAGGTTGCAGTGAGCCCAGATCGCGCCACTAGCCTGGGCGACAGGGCAAGAGTCTGTCTCAAAAAAAAAAAAAAAAAAAAAACCTATATGTGCAATGCTGCATAAGCTAAGGGTCAGTGCATTGCAGGTGATAAGAAGACATGCAAAGATTCACCATAAGGGTGGAAGAATTCAAACAAAACAGCAACTATAGTGTGATCAATCTGCAAAGCTTTACTGAAAAGGAAGATTACCAGGGTCTGCTTATAGACTAGATGAGACAGAAGAACTGATGAACTGATGAGTTGGGGGAGAGAAGGGCATTCTAGACCTTGGGTGCCACACTGAGAAGGTACAAAGCATATGCAATGAAGGTCCAACATTCAGAGAAGCTCAGAAGACTTGGACAGGTAAGAGGGGAGGGAGAGCCCTGTGAGGCTTTAAGCCCTAAGGAGATCAAGTGAAAAGGATCTTGGGATTTTAGCGAACCGTGAGGTTGACATGAGCCAACTCTGTGATATATTGCTTCAACAAAGTTAGTCTTCATCATGATAATAGAAGAACAGCTTCTATGTCACGAGACACAGTGACTCCACTTTACCTTGGAGATAACATCGCAAGAGGGTGTTAAGCAAACTCAAGTGCCAGATAAACAAGAGCTGGATCGATGTGGGAATCATGCTATGTGAAGGGAAAAAGTGAATAAAGCAGGACATAGAACAGCTGTCTTTACATAACATAATTTACTGAGCACTTATTATGTGTCACATGCTATTGAAGAGCTTTATATCTGTTAACTCATTTACTCTTTATATAACTCTATGAGGTAGGTGCTATTATCACCTCCATTTTAAAGATGAGGAAATGGAGGTCAAGAAAGGTTAAAAAATAATAATAAAGTCACACAGCAAATAAAATGGCAGAGCTAGGACTTGAAATGTGATTACCTGGTTTTACAATCTGCTGGCTTATCCATTAAGCTATGGAAGATGAATTAGGCTTATTCAGTGTGGCCCCAGAGGGCAGAACAGGGCCACTGGGTAGGCGTTACAGCAATGCAGCTTTCCCCTTCATATAAGGAAGACGTTTTTTACAGCCAGACTGTCCCGTGATGGTGAGAGCTGACCCAGGAAGGAATGAGGTCCTAGTCAGTGGAAATATGCAAGCAGAGACTGGATGGTCACCAACCAGGGTGCTGTCAAGGGGATTCCTGCATCAAATCTCAGATCTTCTCAATGATACTGCCACTGTTTCTCTGGCTCTGTCAGCAAAGCGTGCGATGAAGGAGGACAGGCTGAGGCAGAGAAGAGGAGCAGAAAAGGGAAGACCAAGGTCCCCTGGGTGTGGGCTTTGGAATGAGGCTGGTTTTGAGCCTGCCCTTAGTGTAGCAGAAAGCCCCTCAGGGTCAGGTAGGAGGGGCTTGGCACAGACAGGGCAAGGCATGGCCTGGATGATGAGGACAGGCAGGCCTAGGGCCAGATGTAGGGGAGGGAAAAGCAGGTTATCCTGGGGTCTGGGTCCAGTTCCTCATGACAGCATCCCTCCTGGTTAAGAATAGGCAGTGGGAGTCCAGATGATAGAGATTAAGTGCAAACACCAAAGCAGATGGAGATGGAGGAAGAGTGGCAACAGGAACTGGAAACTCATTTTACATGATTTTCCAGGTTTCAGGGCGGAGACAGGAGGCAAATCAAGCTCATGCCATGGGGCAAAAGAGGGAAGAAGTCAAGCTGAGCAAGTGAAAGATGCCAGGACAATGGAAGGAAGGACTATCTTGGGTTAGGGTGAAGTTCCTTTGGTTTCTTCCTTCCATTTGCAGCTGCTAAACTGCCGCCTCAACCCAGGTTTCACATCCCTGCAGGGCTCCTCACAGAAGCTGGGGGGTAGTGTTTTGCCGAGGCTCTCTAGCCTCTTAGTCCCAGGGACCTTAAACAGCAGCAGATGCTGCTGGCTCTCTTTTCCATCCCCACCAGAAACCTCTTCTGCTGCTCAAGCATTGTGACATGTCCTTTATTCTGTCCCTTCAACCACTATGCATGGCACCCTCCTAGACCCCACAGCATCTGGCAAGGGAGCAGCTGTTAAGGTGTCTACCTCCCTTGAGATTCACAGATCTTTGAGGGCAGGGGCCTTCCTTTTCACATTCATCACGCCATCCCCACTGCCAGATACACATTAGGTGCTCATGAAAGTGATCTCAAATGTATTGGGTGCCTATTCTATGCCAGACATCTATTTGTACGAATTGAAATAGAATCAGACACCAACGGTGACTCCTGTTGATGTGGTTGGTTGCGAAGGAAGGAAGGTATGATGTGTTGGGTAGGTCAGTGAGGGGAGGAGGAGGGTTGGCGTGGCAGTGGCATGAGGAGTCAAGGAAACAGGACAACTTCTGGTGGGTAACAGGAAAGGAGTTTGTTTTCTGGTTAACAACATCTGGAAGAGGGTGGGGTGGTAATCTCAGAAATGTTGGCTGGAGGAAGGGGACAGCATTTACACTGTTGCCTGGAGGGCCCCAGAATAGTACAGACAGCCATCTGCTTCACCTGGATCAGATGCAGGCTTGTGTATAACAGGGGAAGCAGGAAAGAATGCCCAGGGAACCACTGCTTCCCCCACCAGTCTCTGTATGACTCTTGGGATGTTTTTGCAAATCCTCAGAGACTTTCCAAGCTCTGGGGAGGGCCCCGGCCTATTCTGGCACTACCTTCTTTCCCATTAGCTAATGGTGGCTGCTGAAATGCCTGTGAAATTCTTAAAGGAAAATTCTTTCTGCCTTTCCCTAAGGGACATACCAACCCAAGGTCTCCAGTCCCCAGCCCACAGGAAGCCCTGACGTCCCAATTCTATTCTTCTCTTTGTAATCGCACAAACGATTTACTAAGCAAAGCCAGGAAAACTGTGAGCTTCTTGCAGTAGCAGCTTAGGCATTGGAAAGAATCCATCAGGAGCACCAAAGTATTAACTCTCCTCAGCCCTGGGGTTATTACTCAGTTATTTGATAACACTGACTGTTTACAAGATACGTTTCCGTGGTTCTTTTCATCTTCCTCAAATACTTCAACTGAGGGTGCTGATCGCCCCTGCATCTTTACCCCATTTTACAGATGTAGGAAACTGAGCTGTAGCTATACTAAATGTCTTGCCCAAGGTTATATGCTCACCCCCACCCTCCAATGCCAATATTGACATTGGCATTTAGACTTTCTCCCCAAACACACTAACCTGTTACTTGGCTCCTCTCGTGGGGTGGAGTTGCCTTGGCGGATGGAAGGCCAAGTTGGATGAAAAGCTGAGAAACATGCCTTTCTCTCTGTGCCAGCCCCACCAAACAATAGCCACTCATTCCTCTGAGTGGAAATGATTCACTTGTCTCTCAGTATGAACCCTTGATTGAGTAAACAGCCGGAGCTGCAGGTCCACATCTAAGAGACTTAGTGGCTCTCCTGGGACCTGAGACCGCCCATCTGATACCCTAACTCGCCCAGGCGTCTCAGCAATGCTGGACACTGGGGTGGTGGGGAGTAGAGACCCTCTCCCCTTCCCCAGAGCCTGCATGGAAGGGGTGGGGTGGTGGTTCAGGGAGCTCACCACCACATCCCTAGTAATGAGTTTGGCTCCCTGCCCGGGCTCCCGCCGCCAAGCTCGCTGTTTGTTTTGTTGTTCTATAGGCCTCTTGGGTCCCCAGAACTGGTCTTCTGAAAGCTGGGAAAGGCTGCATTTGGTTGGCACAAGAAAGGGGCATATTTACAGAATGTCCCACTCCCACCCGTCTTGACACACACACTCTGGCCAGCACATCTCCTTGCTTGACCATGGCAGGTGTAGACAGGAGATGTCGGCTCTGTCCAGATCCCCAGCAGACCCCAGGGAAGGAGGTCCTGATCTCCCAGAGTCATTCTGAAAGGGGAGAAACTAAAGACTCATTTATTTTTTGTACTTTTTGTGTAGTTTCTAATATACTTCAATCTTGGACAATTCTTGTATGAGGCCTCAGGCTGTGTATTCAGCTGGCTGTTTTGCAGTCTTAAGGTTGAGCTCCTGCAGCTCGGGGCTTTATTGCCAAGCAGGTGAAACACAGAGAACTGTGTTTTATGGATGGGTGGGATGGGCGTAATGATTCAAGCTCACAGAATACAGGTGACCTAAATAGGCTATGCAAAATTTTCAAGAGGCCAAGGTGCTGGTGTTTACAGAGGTCTTATCTTTAGGAAAATACAGACCCTTTTACACCATTAAGCCTTGCCTGTCTGTGGATTTTGTACATGGACCTGGATCTCTGAGTCGGAAGGGACTTACAAAGACCACCTGGTCCACTCTCCTGCCTTCGGGTAGGGACCAATTTGCATAACAAAGAGTATAGGGGCTTTGGAGAGATCCAGTCCTGACTCCATCCTACTAGCTGTGTGACCTCTGAGCTTTAATTTCCTCAATGTAAAATGAGGACAGTTCTGGTACCGGCATCATAAGATTACAGTAAGGATTAAATGACATAATTCATTATTGAACTGATATTTATTGAATATGTACTGTGTGCCAGGAGCTTGGTATAAAGCAGTAGAAAATAAAACTGTCAAAAATGGCTGCCCTGGCCAGGTATGGTGGCTCACACCTGTAATCCCAGCACTTTAGGAGGCCGAGGCGGGCTGATCACCTGAGGTCAGGAGTTCGAGACCAGCCTGGCCAACATGATGAAACCCCATCTCTACTAAAAATACAAAAATTAGCCGGGCATGGCGGCATTGTGCCTGTAATCCCAGCTACTCAGGAGGCCAAGGTGGGGGAATTGCTTGAACCTAGGAGGCAGAGGTTGCAGTGAGCTGAGATTGCACCACTGCATTCCAAGCTGGGGGACACAGAGAGACTCCATCTCAAAAAGAAAAAAAAAAAAAAAAATTCTTGCCCTGATGGAAATTATCTGAATGTGGGAAGTCAGACAAACAAAGTAAGTAATCACAATATATATTATGTTTAGTGGGTGATAAGTGCTAAGGAAAAAATAGATCATAAAGAAATAATTCATGGAAGGGATGGAGTGCAGAGCTTGGGCACATGGGCATATGTGCATTTAAATATTACTACAATTGTGACTTAACTTGTGAACTTCGATTTTTTTTTTCCTGTGGAGTGGGGTAGTAATAAGCACTTTGCATATTTGTTGTAAGGATTAAATAAAATCATGTGTAAAAAGTGCTTAATATGGTGCTTGGCATGCAAGTGCTTTCTATTATTACTGATATCTTTGAGGCTTCCCCAAAACCCCACTTCTTCCCTGGCTCCCTGGGGTAGTGATGCTGTCAGATCAGGCTCCTTTTCAGTGACATGTTTGCAAGGTCAGACGGAGGAAGAGAATCCTGTCCCCTACTCCCAGCCCTGAGTCATGGGAAAAAAATACTTAGAAGACGGGACCAGCTGAGCCGAACTAATCTAATCCTGCTGGACTTTGGCATCCAGTTGCATTAGTCACCAGTGAGAGGTTTCCCAGTCTCATATCACCAAACAATATGTACTGACCCCCTCCCCAGGGTGGGGCTGAAGGAAGTGTCAGTTGCCCTGTTGTAGCTTCGCAGAATTAACTAAAACAGGCCCATTCTCCCCCTTTGCATGTCTCCACACCAACCACAGTATCCTGTGCTGCACAACTCTGCCTTCGATGAATTATGTGATCTGAGGGGACCTCAGTTTATTCATCTGGACCACCCATGCCTGCCTGGCAAGATTGCTATGCGTATCAGACATGGAGGATATATAATGTCTAACACAGATCTTGACATAGGAGATGCTTAATAAATGGCAGTCATTGCTGCCTACCACCTCTGTTGCTGCTAGAGTGACTCCTCCTACTAGTATTACTACTACCACTCCTGTACTATTACCATGTTTTTCTGCCACAGTCCCAAATTCTCTTTGATTCTATTAGTTCATTAGTCCCATATAATTTTCAGATGATCAAGAAGGATTGGAGGCCAGGCGCGGTTGTTCACGCCTGTAATCCCAGCACTTTGGGAGGCCGAGGCAGGCAGATTGCCTGAGGTCAAGAGTTCAAGACCAGCCTGGCCAACATGGCGAAACTCCGTCTCTACTAAAAATACAAAAAAAAAAAATTAGCTGGGCCTGGTGGCGGATGCCTGCAATCCCAGCTACTAAGGAGGCTGAGGCAGGAGGCAGGAGAATCGCTTGAAGCCGGGAGGCGGAGGTTGCAGGGAGCCAAGATTGTACCACTGCACACCAGCCTAGGCGACAGAGCAAGACTCTGTCTCCAAAAAAAGAAAAAAAAAAAAAAAAAAAAAAAGAAGGATTGGGATATTTCACTGCTCTGTTGCAGATGGTGATTCTGAAATTCAGAGATTATGGACTTACTTGGGGTCAAGTTGTAAATCAAGGGAAGATGTGGAAATTGGAACCAGAACGACAAATACTTCAGGGTGGAGATGGGCCCAGCATATACCTAAGTCACTTGTGTAGCCCAAGATGATCAAGCTAAGAGCTTATGGCTACTTTAATGTCTCTTTCCTTCTTGCTAGCATGTGCCTCTCTGTCCAGGGAGGCAGGAAATACATGGAGATGAATGTGGTGAAAATGAATCTGGAGCTCTGGCCTTCTGAGTCTCTTCCTGTGGTTCTATTCTTCTCCTGGCCTCAGCCTCCAGAAAGGTTTCTAGGCTCCAAGGTGGGAAAGAAGTTCAGGAGCTGGTGCCGTTGGGTTGTCCCAATCAGCCATCCCCATCCTACCCTGTGTTATGGTTTCTATGGCAAAGGCTGAGTGTCCCCCAGCTAATCTGGAAGGAGAAATGGCATCAACAGGCTTTAATAACAAATCTGGAATTCCCACGCTTGACAATTGAGGGGAAGAGGCTGGGGAATTGGGGTTAAGGCCCCCAGGGGATAAGATTGACGCTATCAAGCAAGATCAAGAGTGTTCCCTTAAATGTGTATCATAGATTTAGTAGCTGGAGGGGACCTCAGAAAACTGATCTGGTCTACTGACTTTGGACAAGTAAGATGCGTATTGTTCTATTTTATGAATGAGTTAGCTGAGGCCTAGAAAGGTGGAGTGATCTGCTGAAACTCACCCAGGTTCTTACCCACGGAGGCAAGACTGGAACCCAGGTTTTTGAATTCCAATTTTGGGGCCCTTCCCTATATCATTTTAAAGGACTTTTTTTTTTCTTTTTTTTTTTGAGACAGAGTCTCACTTTGTCACCAGGCTGGAGTGCAGTGGCGTGATCTCAGCTCACTGCAACCTCCAACTCCCTAGTTCAAGCGATTCTCCTGCCTCAGCTTCCCAAGTAGCTGGGATTACAGGCTCATGCCACCACGCCCAGTTAATTTTTGTATTTTTAGTAGAGACGGGGTTTCAACATGTTGGCCAGGATGGTCTCGATCTCCTGACCTTGTGATCCACCCACCTTGGCCCCCCAAAGTGCTGGGATTACAGGCGTGAGCCACTGCGCCCGGCCTAAAGAACATTCTTTCTGCACAAAACATCAGACTGACCTCGGCCTCTCTAGCATGCAGGCATTTCCTATGCCGAACTTAAAATTGATCTAGGGATTTTTTTCCCTGGAGCAAGAATCCAGCTGAGCTTCTTGTACCAGGCCTGACCATACAACCTTGATCTAGGGTGACCAGGATCCCTGAGCCCTCAGTCCACACATCTCAGGGATCTTACCAGAACCTGCCCAGCAGGGAGGCCTACTTCACTTCTGGCCTCAGGGCTAAGAAGTTCTGACAAATCAGAAGAACACTGAATTGGGACCCTCAAGTCTTACACGTTAGTCTTCTCTCTAGGAATGCCACATTTTTGAATGGGGATAGGCCTAAAAGATCCACTATAAATTCAGCACTTACTATATGCTAAGCCCTGGGCTAAGTGTTTTGTTTTGTTTCAGTTAAGCCTCATCAACCCTTGCAAATTGTAAAAATCATTAGTCTTGTTTCCATTTTACATATAACAAGCTGAGGCTCAACAAAACTAAGTAACTTGGCAGAGTCTCAATGCTACTAATTGGAGAGCTGGGATTTGAATCCAGAGCTCTCTGACTCCAGACCTGTGCTTTTAACCACTAGCTTTTTAGCATTCAATTGAACTTCTCTACGCTTCCATATGTCCACGTGTAGACTACCACTTGCCTGATGGAGAGCTGCAAGAAGATGCACGAGAGAAGAGGGGAAGGGCTACCTCTTTGCACCCTTTTGAGTGAAGGTGCCCTGGAAACTCGGGACATGGCAGCTGTCACCTCGGCACACGCTGTCTTCCTTGTGTCCCTCTCCTCAGGCCTCCTCCTCCACCTTCCCATCCCTCTCGGCCTGGGTCACAATGCGCGGGGTGGCAGCCTTTTGTGCCACACACAGTCCCCAGCTGACTCCCCTTTCTCCAGGCATCATTGTTTGCTGTGAGCTTTCTGAAGGAGAGACAAAGGAGTGTTGCTGACAAGGCCAAAAGCTGCTGGGTAAAGCGTGGGGCCAGGGCCCATCACCCATGCATCCCTCGGAGCCCCCGGGCTCTTCTTCAAAGACATTGTCTGGGATCTTTTGTGTGCCAGTCATACCCATTCAGAGCTGGCCAGGCAAAGGTTTCAGTGGGGAGGAGGAGCACACTGAGAAATGGAGTCATTTTGATCTGGCAAAATTGGAAGAGACATTAAGGCAATAGTTAACAGCCGACCACTGCTGGGGGGATGGGCCCAAATGCTTGTTCTCTGTTTATGGGGCTTATGCAATTCCATCAATATTGATGCCTGATGCCTTTGATTCTGACACTAATCATTGCTATGAATTAAATTTGCAGCCATATAATTAGGATTGCTATTAATAGGGCCCTGAGCTAAGCACTCCGATGTGGCGTGTCTTTTTCTTGATAGAAAATGGCATCCTTGGAACTCTGCTAATGGGGCGCACCTGGGATTTGCCAAGAATGATGTGAAAATTATACATTCTATATTTGTATTGGGCCTTTTACTGAAATACCAGCAAGCAAAGGTGAGGCTGGAGGAAGGGTTCTCTCCTACCCAGTGCTGTGGGCAGCAATTAGGTGTCTCTGCTGCTCTTTAAAGTCTTTAGGAAAGGATATGCCAGAGCCAATGTTGGTCGCTCATGGTCAAGCTTCAGACAGCTCGTAGCCAGGAAGTTCTGCTTTATGTCTAACCTAATGGGAGTCAGTTTAGGCTAAGACACTAGCCAACTAAGGGAAGAGGAATTTTCCTCATACCCTAAGCTTATTTGAAAGAGGCTGAGCCAAACTCCTACTGATGGGCCCAGTTGGGCCTCATTTCTAGGTGGATGATTGGGCAAGACCCCTACTGACAACTGATTCCAAGGGTCCCCATCCAGAGAGCTCCCTGGGCCACAGACAACCCGTTAATTTCACACACAAGGGTTAGCTCTCTTTCATGTTGAGATTCTTTTCCAGGTAAATTTGCAGCATATTTAGTCACGGGGAAACCCGGTCTCTTCCGGCAATTAGCCCCCAGTTCAGCTTCGGTGACTGTCAGTGCCCCATTCACCCTCAGCCTGAGTAATCACGTGTCGTCATGCACAAGGGTTATCTAACCCTTTTCCAACAATGGCACATGTGGTGACCTCCCTTTATCACTTAGAATAATAATTTATACCAGTTGGCACAAGGGATGCACTAGTCCCTGCTCTTTTGATCTTCAGACTGAAAATAATTTTTCTTCTAAACCATCACTGATTGATTTTTTTCTTTCATTGTTTTATATCATTGAGATAAGACAATGGTTTGAGTTCAAGTCCTAACTCTACTATTTACTAAGTACGTGACCTTGGCCAAGTTATTTAACTTCTCAGCAATTCAGAGTTGAGAGTTCTTGTCTTTAAAAAGGTCATAATAATACCTTCTTCAGAAGGATTATAATAAGGTTCAATAAGCATCTAAATCTCTTAGCACAGGTCTAGTACACCTAATAAGATTCCCTGCCTTCCCCTTTTTCTTTCACCTCACATATACCCAGATACAGAGGACAAAAGAGATAGCTTTCTTTTCCAACATCTACCCCCGCCCTTGCCACCCATTCTTCTGAATACCACATTATTTTCCACCCATTCTCAGGGACAACACACATAAAATTAATTTCTCCAAAGCAAATGGTGCAATGGAATCTGAATTCCAAATGCCTTCAGTCTTTTTCTCCCCACCCGCTACAAGGGTGAACAGGAGCTTCTTGCCCCCACTGCCATGGTTTCTACTGTTTCTCTTTCTTCTCAGTTAACCCAGGGTCTTAGGTGGACTGAGTCCATTCTCCAATTCAATTCTCAGGACCCTACCACAAACTCACAGGTGTTCAGCACCTCCATGAAAGGGAGAAAGGAGCAAGAGCATCTCAGCACCACCCAAAACCAAGGCTACTTGAACACAGGATTTGCATTCACTTCTGTTGTCTGCCCCACAAATACACTGTACATTTACCCACTCTGTGTAAGTGCATGCTTAAAGGCAAGTGTGTGGCTAGAAAGTAATTGGCTAATGGTCAATATTAGCAGAGAACATGGTTTTTTTTTTGTTTTTTGTTTTTTAACATAAAACCCTAGGAAACAGTGTGTTTGGTTGAGTCCTCAAGTACGTGAACTTTTTATTAATTACCAAACAGGTATTTTACTTTTCATTCCTGAAGCTGGGCAGGGATGGGATTCCTGTTGGGTGATTGTTGGTGTTGGTGCTGTTTTGGCTCCTACTAAATAGAAAACATTAATCAGTTTCTTCAGTATTGGAAATGTGCCTGATGTTGGGCAAGTTCATGGTTACTCGTAGGTGCATTCTGTCATAAGCCCAACATAACTATACTCGCCCCCTTCAGTTATCTTGTCACTAGCAAGGTCTTGTATGGCACAACCAAACCCCAAAACTAGACTCCCCCATGAGGCCATATAATGTACCCCCCACCTCCCTTGTACCTTCAGTCTTTCCCGTAGTCTAATGGCTGCCCCTCTTGAAGCTGTAAAATGTTGGGTAATGTAAGTCTCAGACGGATTGGTGGTATCCCCAGAGGAATGGTCATAGACAGAGAAATGAAGGAAAAAATATGCCCAACCTCCCCCCACCATCAAATCAAAGAAATAAAAAATCTGTCTCCTTGATGCCTCCCCAGTATTTATGTCTGAGCTCAGCAGACACCCCTGGGCTGCAGCCAGTCTGTGTATTAGCATTAGTCCATTACGCTTTTTATGATGCATGTTGCCCACCCCTAACCCCCCCCCCCAAAAAACATTTTATGACTATCCTTTTCATTTCTGGAAAAAGCTTCACAGAATGGCAGATGCCTGAATCTCCCCACTCTTTGGGGAGCTATTTGTAGGCAGCCTGTCCCAGGCCATAAACAATGGGAGATAAACCACAGCCACTGGCAGTAAATGCAGCCAAGGCCATGGAGGTGCAAAAAGTAGGGGGTGGGATAAGCTTGGTGGAGTCTTGTACAAGCACAGTGCCTGGTGGGTCTGTGGGTCTACCCTACTCACAGGAGAGTCAAGAGATTGGGGCCAAAGTGGTTGCCACCCTCCCGGATCTCCACAAAAGCTAGAGGGAAATCTTACCACTCTCCCTCATGCCTGTCTTCCCTAGTGAAGCCATGCATCCCTTAACTGTGATCAGAACCTGTCAACTTTCCAATCAGAAGGAGAAGGTGAGCTTTGGCATCATTTTCTCCTGCTAGCTCATGCTGCTACCTAGATTACTACATGCCACTCATCTCCCACGGATGCTTCTAGATCTTGGAGCAACTTCTTGGAAGTTTCTCTGCCTTCTCCCACTCACTCTTCTTGTGACACCCACCCCTACCTCTTCCTGCTCCACTCTCTAATGCTCTTCTGCTCCCTTATTGTCAAGCTCGAGTCTTACCAATCCATCACCACTACTTCTGGCTTATTAAAACTTCAGCGTGGACTCTGGTGGCCATGGTGGTGATATGTATTTATACCACCTTTTGAGCTGTACCCACAAGCAAGTCACATAGGACACTGCAGGAAACAGCACCTTGAGCCAGCTTTGCTCCAGAAAAGGTGCCCTTGGGAAAAGAAAACCAAATTCTGAATGAATACTAGAACAGTGGAGATTTCTGATTCTTCCTACACACACGAAACAGCATTCAAAAGCAAAGAAGGAGATGGAGGGGCTGGGAGGTGGAGAAGGACAGCAGCAAAGCCCTGAATAATTAGTGCATGGCGGGGTTTTGTTTCTCATCTGCCCCATCTTGGTGGCAGGATGTATAGATAGGATGGAGGTAATGGTGTTCTTTTTCTTTTCCTTATTTGGTTTTGGACTCCACATCAAATGGAGACATGTAGATGAAAGTGGCGTGCATTTAAAATGTATGTACACATCAGACTGCTGGAGATGGTAGATATTATACTGCATGTATGTTTTTTTTTTCTTTCTTTTTTTTTTTTTTTTTTTTGCAGTAAGCTGCTAAATTATTTATTGGGCACTGGGCTTTAATCTCATAAACCTGCCTTCAGGCCTCAGGCACCAGCAGCCTAAGCACTGCATAAAACACATACATCGGGTGGGCTGCATGGAGCACTCCGGTGACTCTAGGTAGTGATTGTTCATTTTCATTCGGCCCTTTCCCCCAGATCAGCTCATTAACAGCAGGCAGAACCTATGAAGAGCCTTCTAGTTTTCCCATCACTGTGAACTTGGAAATTGATTTGCATCTAGTAGCAGACAGGGGCTCCCAACCTGAGCACAACATACCAGGGGAACTGTGGCAAGAGGCTGTTCTCACAGTCTCTTTCCTTGGCTGAGGGATAGGCCTAAAAAGATGGAGTAAACGACTCCAGGATTACAAACCATTGCTGGATTATCCAGAGCTATGCGCCCTAAGCTATGAACCCCCTTAAGTTCCCACCCCCAGGACTCATAGGTGAATGATCCTGGACAAGTGTTTTTTATTTAAAAATAAAAAAAATTTTTTTAATAAAATTTTTCGTTATTTATTTTACATTTAAAAAGTTTTTTTAGAGACAGGTCCCACTCTGTCACCCCAGCTGCAGTACAGTTGTGCAATCATACATAGCTCACTACAGCCTCAATCTCTTGTGCTTAAGCAGTCCTCCTGCCTTGGCCTCCTAAAGTGCTGGGATTACAGGTGTGAGCGACTGTGACCAGCCCAGACAAATTTTTTATATTTTGGGCATGAATTTGCCTTTTCTAAGTGAAAGAGATCTTTATTATCCTCCCTGGTTCCAAGGCCTGAGAGCAACTCTCTTGGTATGAATCTCCTTGTCAGTCTCTTAAATGCTAAGATAATAATAACATTCTTAAACTTATTCATTGGTTTCAGTTATATAAAGAGCTTTCATAAATATACATATATTGCCCATTTTTATCTCATTTTGTAATCCTAACAGCCCCATGGGCTGCGATATTATGGGTGAAGAAACTGGCCAGAGTGGTCAAGTGATTTGTCATTATCACTCAGTAATGACACTGAGATTAGAACATGGATGTCCATCCTTTGTCCACACTAATCATTGCCTAGATGTGTGAGCTAAGTAGCATTACACGAGTATGGAAACTGAGGCACAAATCATCTCTGGCACCAAGGGGCCCTAGGGCTATGAGGGAGTAATGTTAACACCAATGCCCTTGTCATGGAAATGTGAGCCCAAAAAGGGTTGTGCTTTCCAAACCCTGGGCCTCTGCTGTCTTTGAGCAAATGAAGCAATGCCAGGACTGTCTGGGTTTCATCATTCACTGTGCTGCAGCAGCCAAAACCTTATGACCCTCCCTTACAAAATCAGTAAGAAGAGGATATTGCGGTAGTTGGATGCACAGAGTTTTCATCTATGTTCCAGGATTCAGGGGGTCTGTGATCTACCAGAAAAATGTTTTACAAACATTTGTAGATTTAGTTTTTTGTGTAGCGGGCCCATTGCTTACATTAGATTCTCAAAGTTGTCTATGACCCTAAAATATTAAGACCCTTTGTCTAATGGTTTTTTTTTTTTTCTTTTTCTTTTTCTTTTGAGACGGAGCTTTGCTCTTGTTGCCCAGGCTGGAATGCAATGGTGCAATCTCGGCTCACTGCACCCTCCACCTCCTGGGTTCAAGCGATTCTCCTGCTTCAGCCTCCTAAGTAGCTGGGACTACAGGCATGCATCACCATGCCTGGCTAATTTTTGTATTCTTAATAGAGACAGGGTTTCTCCATGTTGGCCAGGCTGGTCTCGAACTCCTGACCTTAAGTGATCTGCCCACCTTGGCCTCCCAAAGTGCTGGGATTACAGGCATGAGCCACTGCACCTGGCCTGTCTAATGGTTTTTAAAAAGTGTGCCTTTGAGTTCTAGGCCACTCCCAACTCCCAACTCCACCCTTCTTCAATCAAAGTATCTTACTTTCATCTATTTCATCTATCTATTTCTTCTAGTAGGGTTAGGAGTATGGTTTTTTTGTTGTTTAAAAAAAAAGGTTCAAATGGCAGATGATGACATTTTAGGTCTGTTTGATCATCACATGTTATGTACCCTGGGTAATAGGCATACCTGCACCACAGTCACCACCTGCCATATGTGTGCACGTGCACACACACACACACACACACACACCATCCCCAAACCCGGTGTCCATGGCAGCAGGACAAGACAACCCTGGAAGAATTCAGATCAGGGCCCAGAGGTGGGCCAGAGGAGCCAGTGGGCCCAGACCAGGAGAATGGATCAGAGCAGATGGAAAGAGTGGACTCGAAGGTTACACCTGGGAGACAAAGTCAGGGTCATGGTCTTTGTTGTGACACCAAATCAGGCAGCACGGGCTGAGAGAGGAGGCTGAAGAGGTAGCTCCAAATCAATATTGAGAGAACCAAATCAGGCCAGAAGGTAGGAGTCCCATCAGCTGGGTGGGTCTTACTCCCACCATGAGGCAAGGGGAGGGAGTCCACTCAGGGAGGGTAAGAATCGCCTCGTGGATCCCTGACCCTGACACGTCTTCATGCTTGTTCTCACCTCGGGGCTTTGTGTGCAGTGTTCTCAGACTAGGAACCCCTCGCCCTGCCCCGTGCCCAGCTAACACCTCCTCATCTTCCACATGCTGATACACCACCTCCTCTAGGAAGCCCCCATGTGCTTCATAGCACCCCAATTATGTGGCTGTCAGAGCAGGAGAGCACTGCGTTTAAGAAGAGTCCAGGCCTTGGGGCCAAAGTATCTGTGTTCAACTCTTGATTCTCTCCCTTAATATCTGTGCGACATAGTGACAATAACCTCACCTCTCTGTGCCTGTTTCTTCATTTGCAAACTGGAAATAATAATAATTTCTGCCTCCCAGGCTCATTGTGAGGGACATGTAAATGAGTTAATACATGTAAAGCATATAGATCAGTGTCCAAAATAGAGTGTGTACTCAGGAAACAGTAATATTATTGTTGTATGTACTATTATAATTGTCCTTTTTCTTTTCTCTCTCCCTCCCCTCAGTACGCGCCACGATTTTAGGATAAGGGCTGCATTCATTATCTCTCTATCTATAGTAACAGCTAATATAAAAGACATTCAATAAATGTTTTAAAAGAAGAAAAGGAGATGAGAAAAGTGGGGAGGGGGAAGAAATCCTAGGACAGGAGCCATCTCTCTGCCCCAATTTTGAGGCACCTTCTTGATGTGAGTCAAAGGCGCTTGCAGATGTGTGCTGTGTTTCCGCGTGAGGCAGGACCTCCGGGATTCTTACCAATGTTTGTTGCTGGCCATGGGCAAAGAACAAGGTTCTTGGGGAGTGCACATGATTCAGGCAGTCACATCTCATACACAGAAATTCAAGCCAGCAGTGCTGCAGCCGAATCCTTTTGGGACCGCCCTTTTCCAGAGGGAAAAATCCTTTAGCCTCACTTAGCTCATAGCCTCCCTCACCTGTCAGTGCCCCACCTGCAAATCCCAGCAGATGGCAGGTCTGCACTGAAAGACAACTACAGAGGATTCCATCAACCTTCTGGGGTCCAGGACTGAGTAGACTGTACTCCTGCCACCAAAGGTTCGAAGATGCAGAGCAACGCCCATTATTAGAGTGTTCATTCATACAATTATTTACTCACTCATTCAAAAACAATGACAATTACATATGGGCCTGCTATGTGCTGTCAAACATATTACTTGTTGCTAATATCTGTATTAATTACATCAAGCTAGTGGTTTCCAACTGGAGGTGATTTTGCAGACATTTGGCAGTATCTGGCGATGTCTTTTCATTGCTATGTCTTGGGCAAAGAGAGCTATTGGCGTCTAGTGGGTAGAGGCCAGGGATACTGCTAAACATCCTACAATGGATGGGACTTCCTCCCCACAATGAAGAATTATCTGGTCCATGATGTCGATAGTACTGAGGTTGACAAACCCTGATCAAGGCAACCAACATTTCTGGAGCGTCAACCATGTGTCAACCACTGTGCTAAGCACTCTTCATTTGATCTTTCTAACAGCCCTGCAACATAGGTACTATATTTTTTGAGATAAGAAAACTAAGACTCAGGGAGATTAAATTATTTTCCCATTTATTCACATAATATGCAGTTATTAAACAACTCAGTGGGTAGTGGATTTGAAAAGCAAACCCAGGTCTTCTAGCCCCAAAGTCTACTCATCTACAAAAGCATGCTAGCTCTCTGCACAAGGTCAGAAAGGAGAAAACATGACGTAAGTAAGTGATGGAGAAGCATGAGTTTTGGGAGGAAAATGTTGTTCATAACTGCCACTGGGAATGAAAAAAAAATCCCTTTTCTGCCTCCTTCTCTCCCAGTCTACCATCTATACTCATATACACACACATACACAATCGAACAAAATCCTTGAGGCCCCAGTTTGCCTTCAGGGTGACTTCGGTGTGGGTGGTAATTTTAGCTTGAGATTCCACCCTCCTTCCCCCACCCCAAAATGTTTCTCATCTTACACATACAACCACACTTTTGGCTGGGAAGAGGGTGGAGATATTTCTCCTGCTCCTGAAATGTCTTCATAAAGATCTTCTCTCTGCCAACCTCCAGCTTCTCCTCGTGCTGATTTAGTGCCTGCTGTAGGAGGTGTGGGATTTTATTTGTAGCTCCTGACTGGCGGGCTGTTGGACAGGAGCTGTGTGTGTAGTGGGAAGAGTAGGGACTTTGGCATCAGACTATCTTGGTTCAAATCCTATCATCTAAGAGGATTATATTGGGTAAATCAGTTAGCCTTATTGAGCTTTGGTTTCTTCATTTGCAAAATGAGAATGATGATACCTACCTTGCAGCGTTGCTCCAAAAGTTAAGTGAGGTCAGTTGTGTTCATCTTTTAGTGCAGTACTTGGCAAAGAGGGAATACTCAGGAAATGCTAGCCAGTATGCTCATCCTTCTGCCTCAGCCCCAGGTTCGCTTTTTTTTTTTTCTCTTTATCTCTTCTCAGGAGCTCAAAGAGAAGGGGAGGAGGAGTCAGGGTTCCCTTCTGGTGGGCCTGCTGGACCATGCTTCCCTCCCTATTCTGGGCCTCCTGTGGGGCCCTGTGTATAGCTCAGCCCAGGCCCTTGAGTCAACCACAAGATCACTATCTTTGCTCTGCCTCTGTTTAGAGTCAGGTAACACAGACCACAGCTGCCACCACCTCCCCAGGCATGATCATGTGAGTGACAGTCATCACCATAAGACTCTCCCACTTCATCCCTAACTTAGCAGAGATTCACAACGTGGCTGGAAGTGTTAAGCAGTGGTGCTGGTTCACCCTGTTAAAAATGTAGCCTGAAATCATTCAGGATCTTAAGGCTTGGAGGGATCCCCAAGATGCCTTGTCCTTGTGATTGTCCTCATGACTGTCTTTTTGCCCTTTTCTTTGCGCTTCTCGTAGAGAATGTTTTGGAATGGTTAGAGACAGAAGGGAAACTCATTCATAGAGAACCTGCCATGCACCAGGTCCTTTCCATCCTAAGGTGGCTTATCCCTTTTCCTGGGTGCACTACATCCAGCCCATCTGGGGCTGGAGTACATAAGCATTGCTCTACAGAAGAAGAGGAGCTTCCACAACCCTCTGCCATCTTATCTTTGGTGACTTCTGAAACTGCAGGGTCCAGAAGATCCAACTTTACACATTGCAGTATGCAGTATACTCTCACATTTCTCCTCTCATTTAGTTCTCATAGCAGCTTGAGAGGTTGGGATTCATAGCTCCATTTTTTTTCTTTTTTTTTTTTTTTTTGAGACAGAGTTTCATTCTTGATGCCCAGGCTGGAGTGCAGTGGTGCCATCTCAGCTCACTGCAACCTCCGCCTCCCAGGTTCAAGCAATTCTCCTGCCTCAGCCTCCCGAGTAGCTGGGATTACAGGCAACCACCACCATGCCCAGCTGATTTTTGTATTTTTAGTAGAGATGGGATTTCGACATGTTGGCCAGGCTGGTCTTGAAATCCTGACCTCAGGTGATCCTCCTGCCTTGGCCTCCCAAAGTGCTGGGATTACAGGCGTGAGCCACTGCGCCCAGCCTATATCTCCATTTTGCAAATGGATTGAACTGAGATTATTGAGTCAGTAAGCAGTGGATCCTAGGCATAAATCCCTAGTTTTGTGGCTCAAAGTTCACAGCCTCCATGAGGGCTCCATACCTTTGTTGTGTCTTTTCTTCTATCCTACCCTAAAGCAGGCATTCAGCCTATCTTGCTAGAACCTCGTGACATGTAATCTCTGTAGGTTTTGGGCTACAGTAGGTGTAAAGGACAATAGGACATGGGTTCTTTCCTCAGGTGCCTAGTTGAAGGCATGAGATAAGCTTGCCTCCTTTGTTCTTCCCCTCAAGACGTGATCTGGGGGCTCCATTCTCATAAATATTCAGGTGCGCGTCACTGGTGGTGGTGCAATGTGGAGCTGGGGGAGAGAAGCCCAGAAATCGGGTGGGCTGAGCTCAGTCCCAGCTCTACAGCCACTGACCTTGGGGAAATCACCCCAGTTCTCTTATCCCTAAAATGGAGACATTGATCATTTCAGTTCCTCCTTCACAGGATCGTGGGGCAATTTAGTGAGATGATACGTGTGAAAGCAACAGTAACTGCACACCACTGCACAAATGTAAGGGTTAGTGCTGCCTTCTCTCTGCTACCTGACCCATCTGATCAGCAGCATCAGAAAGAACCTAACACCTGCAGGTTTTATCCCGCAAGTACATGGCCTGGTAATGCTCTGAAGGTGGAGAAAATACTTGCCAGGGACTTTTACAAGATCCTGGTCATTGTGCTAACAGTAAGGGAAACAACAGTCCAGATAGGACAGAGTACCTTGCAGACGTCTTCGCATAGCACTGGCTGGTTTGCTGTCTCTAAAAAATTTTTTATCTTGTGAGAGTTTCAGGTTTGCTTTCATGAGTCAGCTTTAGGGAAGTAAGCTGAAAGCACAGTGCAGAAAAGATTTCAGAGCTCGAGTTGTTCAGGTGGTGTTCTTTGGAGCGCATTTGTTGTTCAGGCTGTTGCTCCTGCTTCCCTCCCTTCCAAATCCAGCCTCCCTACGGTCTCTCTCACACACACAGAACCAAGATCAGCCTCTCTGGGCTATGTAACAAAAACCATCTTTCTCTTGCTGGTCCATGACATAACCCTGCCAGTCTGGGAGCTATTACTTTTTCCAGATGTGGAATAATTGCAGGGCTAATCACCCCTGGAGACTGCTGGGACCCTTCTCTAAGGGTCTCCAGGTCCTTTCATTTAATCCTCATGACAGTCACTAACAATAAAGAAGAAAGTGGTAGATGCTGAGTGAGGAGCTAAGATATTTGTCCAGAGACACAGCAAGCTGCATGTAATTCTGGTTCAAAATTCTTAGGTCTGCAAAAAAACTGAAAAATGTCTCTTGTCCCTCCCCCACCTTCCTACAGGAAGGATTTTGTACAAAATAACATTGCAGGCCGGGCGCGGTGGCTCACGCCTGTAATCCCAGCACTTTGGGAGGCCGAGGCGGGTGGATCATGAGGTCAGGAGATCGAGACCATCCTGGCTAACAAGGTGAAACCCCGTCTCTACTAAAAATACAAAAAAAATTAGCCGGGCGCGGTGGCGGGCGCCTGTAGTCCCAGCTACTCGGGAGGCTGAGGCAGGAGAATGGCGTGAACCCGGGAAGCGGAGCTTGCAGTGAGCCGAGATTGCGCCACTGCAGTCCGCAGTCCCGCCTGGGCGACAGAGCGAGACTCCGTCTCAAAAAAAAAAAAAAAAATAAAATAACATTGCAATTCCCAGGACAGCCCTTCATTCCTTAGCTACTTCTCTACAGATGTGGGGCCACCTACTCTCCCCCTATCCCATTTTCTCCATCACCGCCTCCTGCCTCCAAGCCTACCTTTCTGAAAGATGTTCTTGACACTGTCATTAAACAGCTGCCAGCAACACCTGCTGGCATTCTCTGTTGCAAAGATAACAACCCAACTTTAAAAAGAGAGAATACAAAACAAGAAAGGCTATGGGAGGTGTGGTTGTGGGTTTTGGTTTTATTGTGTTTTTTTCCGTTTGTTTGTTTTTTTGCCAAATTACATTTTGTACATTTCTCTGTTGATTCTCTTATTCCTTTGCATTTTCTATTCTCTATTTATGAACCCCCTCTCCCAACCCCCACTTTAAAAATCAAGAAAAGGAAACCTGTTTCAGGATTAAATATGGTGTCAACATGTGGCTAGGATCTGAATACCTCAAAGAGAAGTCACAGGGGTTGTCTCCACCTACCCAAGCCTTTAATGGTGGAGAAGGAAAGATGGATTTAAAAAAGACGGAGGAGCCAGCCTTTTCCTCCTACCCTCCTGGGCCTCCTTCCAACAAATGATGATGCAGGGTGATGAAGATAGCGCTCTCAGAATCTGTGCCTAGTGATAACTCCCTCAGAAAGTCATGGGGATGCTTTCCCCACCTGTGCGTGTACACTGGTGTTTCTTCTGTTTATGCAAGGAGTCATTGCAGGGAGGGCTACATCTAGTCTGCTGCCCCAGTGGTTGCTAAGTCTTGATAGACACCACCTCTATCTGCCCTGCCCTCCTGCTCACCCACAGAGATGTGGCCCATTCTGAAACCACCAGCACCTCTTCCTTGCCACACCTGTCTCTAAGTGCCATTGGATCCCACTGCACAACTAATTCCCTTTTGCAGCCAGCTGGAGGAACACAAAGCTTATTACTCTCTTAAGACAATAGCTCAAAAGTGATAGTTTCTTTTTTTTTTTCCTTTTTTTTTTTTTTTTTTTTTTGCTTTCAGAGACCAACAAGGAATAAAGGGGCAGCTTCAGCTTCAGGAAATCGAGTTGTGTTTTGTGTTGCCAGGGGGTTGGGGGCTGGCGAGGGCTGAAGAGGTTGGGTTACTGGAAGCAAGATTCAAGGGAGCTTTGCAGAGGTCAACCCCAAGCAGTCTTTGTGGGAACCATCAAACTGATGACTCTGCTGATTTTCTATAGTGTCATGGAAAAGGATTGTAGGGAATTCTTGCCAAGTCTTTAGAAGAAAAGATATATATAGCTAAAGACATGTATATTTATAGAGAGATATATGGATATATTTATGCCAGTCATGCCAATGAGCTCTGCAGCGAGGAGAGGCCTCTAGAGAAGAGCAGGGCACCAGGATCTCCCTGCAGCACTTTCTGGCCCTTGGGAAAAGGAAATAAGAACATCATCGAAGGTACCTGGATCTGTGGCCTTAATCCTGAGAGGCCCCACCTCCTGGACTGAGAGGGCCTCCTTAACAAGGCCAAGCCAGGAGTTTTCCTTTGAACGGTTCAGTCAAATCCCTGCAGCCTAGAAGACACCTTAGAAGGAAATCTTTCTGGGAGTCTTTGATCCCTGAGGAACCTAATGTTCAGAGCAGAGTGTGAGAGGCAGGGATTCCTTATGGGCCAATGCCAGGAGTAGGGAGGGGGCTGATGGGAGGGCTGAGTGCTCCATGCCTAAAAGAAGGGAAGAATGGCCCCAAATTCATTTTTGCTTCCACCTGTGGGCAAAAAGCTTAATTGGACTGTTGGGCTTGGAAGGGCCCAGACCCTGCTTTTAGAGGAACTGGGAGGCTTGCCTATTTAGCTGGGACCATCTGCTGGCCCCCCGCTTAAGCCTGGGGGAACAGCTGAGGCTTACTGAGAAATTGGGCTAAAGATTCTTTCCAGAAATCTCCCTGGAACTGCATGAGGCGTGTGTGTGTGTGTGTGTACTCTTTGTGATTTCTCTGCACCAGCGGATCTCTTAATGTGAGTAAAGCAGCGCAGGCTCAAGGGTGAGCTGGGCGGGAGGCTTTGCTGGGTGTGCCCAATATCTGGCTTTAACATCTCTCATTCCATCTCCATCATGTCAACAGCTTTCAAGATTGACTG